>NC_000015.10:88562490-88714005 GCF_000001405.40 Homo sapiens
ATAGAATATTATTCAGTATTAAAAAAGGATGAAGTACTGATACTTGCCACAACAAGATGGACCTTGAAAACCTTCTGCTGAGTGAAAGAAGCCAGTCACAAGAGGTCACATATTGTATTACTCCATTTATATGAAACATCCAGAATAGACAAATCTGTAGAGACAGAAAGTAGATGAGTGGTTTCTGGGGGTAAGGGAAAAGGGGAATAAGGAGTTACTGCTAGTGGGTATGACGTTTCTTTTTGGGATGATGAAAAATGTACTGAATTAGATAATGGTAATGGTTACACACCTGTTAATATATTAAAACCTTCTGAATTGTACATTTTTAAATGGTGAATTGTGTAGAGTATGTCTCAATTTAAAAAAAAAAAAAAAAAAGGAACAGTTCTAATTTTCGGATTGTCCCCAGCTTTGTGGCTCCGATGGTCTGTAGAGCCAGCCCTGAGTGGGCTGCAATCCTCCCATTTCTCCATTCAGCCTGTCAGATGCTGCTCCTCTTCAAGGTTCATCCCAACACCCTGTCACCCCTCCACAGCCCACCCTTCCCCACCTCTGCCCACCATGGGGAAGCCTTCTGATTTCTTGCAGGGGAGCCTTCCCTTGAGGAGTGTAGTGGTTTAAGCCAAAAGCATTCTGGGACACTGAGTTCATCGTACTTTTCTCTCTACTTTTGTATACATTTGAAACTTTCCATAATAACAGCAAAAAGGACTCTCCCCTCCAGCCTGCCCGGCACTCAAGCAGCTTGTGTATATCTTCGTAGATAAATGTACATTAATGATTGACCTACATGAAGATAAAACAATAAGAAGAATTCCCTCTGCTGGAGTGTAGACCCACACTGCCCTTTTCCCAGCATGGTGGTATCAGGAGAATAGAACAGGGCCTATGCCTTCTCTTCTCTAATGATCCTTGGTTTGTAAGTTTTTTCCCCAAGAGACCGTTCCTTTTATATTTTTATTTTTTTAAAGGTAGGTGAGTTGCCTTTGCAAATCCTTTGCCCATTTTTCCACTGGGATTATTTTTCTTAAAGATTTACAGGAGCTATTTATATATTCTGGATATTGATCTTTTGTTGGGACTGCAAATATATTTTTCCCTGTGTGAGGCTTATCTTTAATTTTTAACCATATTTCTAGTGATGTCTTTAAAATGCTCTGACCTTCCGTTACTGTTCTTGTTATCTGTCAGTTTAAGGCAGGGTCCCATGTAAGAGTCCATCACTGCGCTTCCTGGAAAATCTGCTAGTGATAAAGGAGGCCGAAGTTTGTCTTCCCTCTTTGCCTTTTCCAGGAAGTGGATTTCATTTCATTCTTCCAGCTCTTATTGCTACCATAGTACAACGGAGTTAAAGGGGCAATCAGAGGCAAGATGACGACTGCATTGTGAGTCACTGCAAGGACTTTCCCTTCAATTCAGAGTAAGATAAGGAGCCAGGGAGGGCATTGAGCAGAGGAGTAGCTACAGCAGTGGTCTAGGCAAGAGATGGCAGTGGCTTGGATTGGGGTGATAGAGGTGGAGGTGGTGAGAAATGGTCAGATTTGGGGTGCATATTGAGGATACAGCCAATAGGCCTTGCCAGTGGATTAGATCAGCAGTGTGAGAGAAAGAAAAGAGACAAGGATATCCCAAGGTTTTTGGCCTAAGTAACTGTGTCTACTTTTGCTCAAAAAGTAATCAAGTATTTGGGCTTAAAGTTAAGTCAGCTCCACAAATACAGAGACCATCTCTGTTTTGTGACTACTGATCTCCAAGCTACCACAGTGACAGGTACATACGCACTCAGTAAATATTCGTGGAATACTAAATAACAATCTTTTTACAAATGGGCGGCATCGGTGGTATAGGCTTCAAGCACACCAGAGGACCCATTTTATTTCCACAGCCCTTTGGCATCCATCTCAACTGTCCCAACTTCTCATTCCTGGCCCTCCCTTCCATTGTCATCTCACCCTAGGAAGAGCGCTAAGTCCCCCACTGTATCCCCATGCTTCTGCCTCCTCCATCCTTCTCATGCAGGGTGCCCCAGGGAGTGGGAAGATGGAGTGACAGGCAGCAGGGCCTGAAGGACTGGAGAGCTTTCTCTCCACTCATTTCAGTCCTCCTGTGGTTCTTCTGCCAAGGCTTTTAGCAACTCTGCTCACTATCTGCATTAGCCGCAAGAGGAGTGGATGGGAACAAAAGCAGGATGAGAGGCTCTTGTTCTTTCTCTCTTTCTAGAAGAGGCTAGCAGAGCTCTTCTCACCTTGACATTTAGTGGCAGATATTCATTACCCTAAATATTACACCACCAGCAACAACACCCCCATCATCATCATCATCATCACCAACCTGTTAATCAAAATAATTGCAATCACCATTTAGTAAATGTTTACCATATGCCAGATGCTACTCATTTCACCTATATTATTGAATTTCATCTGTGAGGACTCCGTGAGGTGGGTAGTATCATCCCCATTTTACAGATACACAAACTGAGACAGTTTCACTTGACCCTTTTTTGGATCCCCTACCCTATTCTTGCTTTGCAAGGCTCACTTCCTCATGCTAAATCCTTTATTGCTGTTTGCAAAACATGCTCAGTTTCTGCTTGCATTTCCGCAGCCTTCGGATTTCAAATCCAAATTTTTTAGAGTCAGGCATGTTCTCACTATATTGCCCGGGCTGGAGTGCTGTAGCTATTCACAGGCATGATCATAGTGCACTGCTGTCTTGAACTCCAGCGTTTGAAGACATACCTTCCCCTCATGCCCTCGACTAAATGCTTACTGCCCAGGAGGGGCTTTTCTTTATCTTTGGTGACCCTGCAGCCTTCAGTCTTTCCCAGATACTCTCTTCCCACTGCCTCTGGCACCTATTTGTGCTCAGGCAAAGGGATGAGTATTGTTCTGCTTGATTTGGGGGAAAAGAATAACTTGTGGATTGAGCTCATAGGAACATGGCACCGGCTGTTTGGGGCTTTTGCTGTTTTACCAAAAATAGCAAAATCTCTTGCCAAAAATCAATCTCTCTCTCTCTCTCTCTCTCTCTCACACACACACACACACACACACACACACACACACACACACACACACAGCTTTCTCTTGGCTTGAAAATATTTTGAGGGCACATTGCTCTTGTTCACATGGCAAAGAAAAGTGTGGGTTTCAGTATCAGGCTGACTTGGGTTCAAACAGGCTATACCTGAGCTGGGTCATCATGCCCAAGAAGCATGAGTCAGGGCTGAAATCTACTCGCTGGCTCAGCCAAGCCCCAAGACCTGGCCCAGGGCTGCATCAGCCAAGGAAGGAGTGCCTTTTCCCAGCTGGTCTTCCCAGAAGACTTGCCTTTTTGCAGTGCACCCACTCAGAGGGGGAGTCTTTTCCTAATGCACACAAAGGTGCCTTATGTGAGGGGCAACCATGGTTCAAAGCCTATTTTGCCTCATGCTAGCTGTGCTGCTTAAGACAGGTGACTGTACATATTTATTGTCTTCAGCCAATAATTTGAGAACCCTGACTCTGCAGCAGGCACTGGGCCAAGTGTGGCAGGACCAGTGTGACAAAGTCACGATTCCTGCCTCAGAGAAGCCTGCAGTCTAGTTGAGAGATCCTCACCAACAGTTGGATGGGCACTTAACCTAGCACTCCCAGAATAGATGCTATAGAAGATGCTGAAGGAATGGTGTTCCAGGCAATAGGAACTGCACAGGAAAAGGTAGTGAGATGTAAAACAGCATAGTATCTGCAGAGAACAAAGCACAGTTTGGCATTCCTGAAGCACAGAGAGTCAGGTGGGCTACAGCAGGAGAAAGGGAGAGAGCCTCTGAGGCCCATTTCTCTTATCTCTAAAGCAAGGATGACTATTACCTCCATCAGTGCGGGACCTGATTAGGTATTCAATGCATGATTGCTTCTATGCCCAGGTAGTTTTGAAACTCTGTTGCCCAGATTGGAGTGCAATGGCATGATCTCAGGTCACTGCAATCTCTGCCTCCTAGGCTCAAGCGATTCCCCTGCCTCAGCCTCCCGAGTAGCTGGGACCACAGGCACGCACCACCACGCCTGGCTAATTTTTTGATTTTTTCAGTAGAGATAGGGTTTTGCCATGTTGCCCAGGCTGGTCTCAAACTCCTGAGCTCAGGCGATCTGCCTGCCTCGGCCTCCCAAAGTGCCAGGATTACAGGAGGGAGCCACTGTGCCCAGCCCTAGTTTTGAAACTTCTCAAAGGCAGGTACCGTGTCTGCAGCTATACCCTATCATAGCACACTGCAGCTTTGAGCACCACTGTTTGAAGACATACCTTCCCCTCATGCCCTCGACTAAATGCTCACTAACCAGGAGGGTCTTTTCTTTATCTTTGGTGACCCTGCAGCCTTCAGTCTTTCTCAGATACTCTCTTCCCACTGCCTCTGGTACCTATTCATTCTCAGGGAAGGGGATGAGTATCAGACACTGTGCTGAGAATAAAATCTGTGTTAAATAAGTAGTTTTTGATTGTCTAGTGCTAGCACATATTAAAGACCTAACAAGTATTTGTTGGATGAATGAAATAAGCCAGTCCTGAAACCTGGTCCTTACCTCCTAGATCTGCCTGAGATATGGGGTTGGAGGAGGGTCTTTGGAGAGGAACGAGAAGGAGGAAGCACATCAAAACCTTCTTTCCAGAGGGAGTAGCTGCTTGGACCATAGAGCAAAGCCCTGTGAAGCATTTTCCTTAAACTGGAGGCCCCTGGGTTGCCATAGGGCCTCCACTCTCTGGTTTCTGCTCTCAGGGGCAGGACAGGGGAGCACGGCTGAGGTGTGAGTGGCCAGGGCAGGGGTGCAGGCAGAGCTCCAGTCCCAGAAAATGACTGCTCATGTCGTTCGCTGGGAGTGTAAAGAAGAGGCTGGGGGCTGAAGAGGCAAAGCCCAGGGAATATAAGAAAATCTTAGCTGCAGGGAAAAGCGCTCTTCTTCGCAATGAAGGCAATGAAATTAGAGGTAATTGCAAGACACGGAGATTCGATAAAACCTAGGGAGGCGATCAGGTAAGGGGGGCTGGAACTAGCTTGGGAGATGGAACAGCTGTTCCTCCCCTCCAGCGCCACTGGTAATAGCCCCTGTGTTGTTAGAATTGAACAAACAGTCCTTCCTGGCCCCAACCAGCGATGCCCTGTAATGGGGGCAGCTGGAGCAGCCAGAGGAGTGGGGGTAGCTTGCCCACCTATGAGACACAAGCTTTCCCCCGAGACACCACACTGTGCTGGGGTCTGGAAGCCCAAGAATGGTAGAGCTTGGACCTGCTGTAAGGGCAGAAGGCTAATGGGGATGACTACCATAGGACTGACCTCCCTTTCACCTGCAGGCCACAGGCCACCAGAGGCCCTAGGAGGAGCTAGGGCATGCCCTCCTTCCCTGTCCCCCTGTGTCCTTCCTTTCACTTGCTGAGGATACAGTGGTGAGTAATTCACACCATGAAACAGAATGAAATGTGGAAAGTGCTGGTTAGGAAGCACAAGGCCACGTGGACGCATACAGCAGGTGACAGCCCAGCCCAGGTGCTCCTCAGTTTGGGAAAGTCTTTAAGAAGAAGGGGTCTTTAGTGGGGCCTGATGCATGGCTCTGGGGAGAGGAGTCAGTAGGAGGGGATGGTAGCTGAGAAAGCACAAGCACCTTCTGGAAGATGCATTGCACTTCAGAGGCAAGATTTTCTTTCTTTTCTATTTTTTTAAAATTTCTTACTCTAATCTCATGACAGATTAGGGAGGCAGGTTTTGAAGAAGGTTGCTGATGAGATAGAAAAGCAACCTGAGGAGATGCGGTGCGAAGAGTGACCATGATGAAATTAGCACAATGGCTTTGGGAACTGGTGATCCTGGGCTCTACCTGGTTGGCCCTGACCATGGGAGCCCTGGGCCTGGAGCTGCCCTTGTCCTGCTGGGAGGTCCTGTGGTGACTGCCCGCCTACTTGCTGGTATCCTCCAGGTGCTATGCCCTGGGCACTGTGGGTTATGGAGCGGCCACGTTGCCTGATAGCAAGGACACCATACATGAGCTGCATAATCAGAACCAGGAGCCCAAAGCTGACTCAGCCCACAGACACCCTACCCTCATTCCTGCGCAGACAGCCCTCTCTCCCATTCCCCATTAAAGAGCAAGTTTATTTTCTAATAAAAGAGAGAAACGAAAAGAAGAAAAGAAAAGAAAAGCAACTTTGGGGGGAAGGACTATTACACTGAAAGGAATTACAGTGTCAATGCTTAGGACTATTACACTATTACGCTTAGGGGAAGGACTATTACACTGAAAGGAATTACAGTGTCATGCCATCGCAATTAACATGTCCCACAGCGAGGAATAGCTCAGAAACTCCACGAAGGCCCTCAGGGGACATTAAGCAGCAGCCAAAGCCAATGGTGATGAAAACCAAGGCATAATATTTTATAAGTTTATGATGAAATAAGTGCCAGAGTAGAACCCAAACTGGACAGATACCAAAAGAACAAGACTGTGTCCTTTGCAAGAACGTGGATGGAGTTGGAGGCCACGATCCTCAGCAAACTAACGCAGGAACAGAAAACCAACCGCATGTTCTCACTTATAAGTGGGAGCTAAATAATGAGAACCGATGGGCACAAAGAGGGGAACAGCAGACACTTGGGCCTACTTGGAGGTGCAGGGTGAGAGGAGGGAGAGGATCAGGAAAAATAACAATCAGGTACTATGCTTAGTGCCTGGGAGAGGGAATAATCTGTACAATACAGCCCTGTGACACAAGTTTACCTACATAACGAACCTGCACATGTATCCCTGAACCTAAAATAAAAATTGAAAACAATAAATAAATAAATACAATATGTCAACAAGAACATATGGGAAGAACCATGCCCAAAATGAAATAGTACAAAATGGTCATGCTTGGGTAAGGGATTGTGGCTGATGTTTCTTTTGTTGCTTGTTTAAACAAATTGTTTTTCTTTGTTTGTTTGTTTGTTTTTCTTTGAGACGGTCTCACTCCGTTGCCTAGGCTGGAGTGCAGTGGCGCAATCTTGGCTCACTGCAACCTCTGCCTCCTGGGTTCAAGCAATTCTCCTGCCCCAGCCTACTGAGTAGCTAGGACTATGGGTACCCACCACCATGCCTGGCTAATTTTTGTATTTTTTAGTAGAGACGAGTTATGATCTCACCACTGTACTCTAGCCTGGGTAACAGAGCAAGACCCTGTCTTTAAAAAATAAATTTAAAAATTAAAAAAAATGTAAAATTTAAAACATGAATAACAGCAAAAAATGGTAGGTTTAGAAAAATGTTGTTTTCAAGCTGCTTGTTATTTCCCTTCTCCCTCAAAACAAGGTCATTCATGGCCGTTGTCAGTGAAAACAAATTATGTTTCCTTCATTCTGCAGCCCAGAGACATTGTGTTCTGCTCAACTCAATCCAGCTCAGTAAGGTCTTTATGTGAACATCTTCCCTGCGAAGGTCACCTGCCTAAATGCTAGGGCTGTGGGGTGAGGGAAGGAGACACAAGCAAAAACAAGGGGAGCCCTTGTCTTCAGATTGACTGGAATATAAGGATGAGGAAGGGAATTAGGTTAGAAAGAAAGATGTAGGAATCTTTAGAAGAGTCTCTATGCTAGGACTTGCTCTGCAGGTAGTGAAAAGTGAGGGTGTGATAGGATTAGAGTTGGTTCTTAGGAAGATCATTCCAGGAGCAGTGGGAGGACAGGCAAGAAGAGTGGAGTCAGGAAGGTGAGAGAGCCCACAGACTGGCCCATGCTTCCAGGGGAGGAGAGCAAGGCTGGGGAAGGACAGCAGTAAGTGCAGCCAAGGAGCCCCCTCTTATTGGCCAGCAGGCTTCTCTTAAGTGTGGCAGGCAGGGAACAGGCTAACTCACCCTGTCTTCATGCCTGAAAGAAGAATGCACCCTAGGGCAGTGGTTCCCAACCTTGGCTGCCCAGTGGGCTCAACTGAGGAGCTTTAAAAATACTAGGTCCTGGGTCCCATCCCCAGATAGTCTAATTTAATAGATTTGGGGTATTTTGGAGCTTTCAGAGGATTCTAATGTGTGATCAAGTTTGAGAGCCACTGCTTTAGAGCACCATCAAACACACGAGGAGTCCACGCTCCTGGTCCCCAGGCAAGATCTCATGCTTCTGCCTAGAAGAGATGCTGAGCAGCTGGTCACTCTTTTTATTGGGCTCTGAATTTGAAGCTTTTCTGGGGATGTGACAACTATGTCCTCTGCAGCATTGAGAGCACTCAGCTACTTTGGCTCAGTACTACTGATGGCGTTCTGCCTTCTGATCTCTCCTCCTGTGTTCCTCATCACTATGTGTCCACTTCCTTCTGTATGTCCATGCCTTTACCATGCAATTTTGGGAGGGGCAGGAAGAAACCACATGTGTTCAGGGTAACATCTTGACCTGGAAACTCCTTTCTGTCTTTTATGGGAACAGGGGTGCCGGGGAGATTCTGGGCCTTGGGGACATCCAGTCTTCCTAGTCCTCAATGGCTGAATACAGGAAAAAGACATCATTTTAGGTATATTTATAAAGCAGCTGAGCTCTGTCTCAAGATGGCTAGGATGAGCATTTGGAATAAAAAGTTGATATTTGCGATATGTAACCAATACCCGCAGTAATTAGGCATGAAGTTTGGCCACCTCTTCTATGGGTGAGGCCACCCAGAGTTATTCTTGTCTTTCCTCCACCCCATTGAGCATCTCCGATGTGACAAAACTAAAATGCTAGAGGCCTGGGTCCAGCACATGAGGCCAGAAAAGAGTGTAGGTACCTGGGAATGTCAGTGCCATTCAGTGTGACCACAGTAAGGGCAATCACCCGGGCAGCTCTCCCAGGAATCTGTCCTTGTGGCCAGCCAGTGGGGTGACTTTCCAGAGTCCATTCCCCTGCCAGTCTATAAGTGGCAAGCTTGGGAGACAGACAGCCAAGGTCCTTTTAGGGATGTGGCTAGCAACCTCTGCCAGAAACCTAGCATGGGTCAGAGGGATAGTCAGCTGCTGTGAACCACTAGATGCCCTGTCACCAACATGGGGCAAGTTGAAGAGGTAGGAAGAGGGAAGGGAGCAGTGGGGACGCCTTCCCCTGCCACTTTCACAAATCATTACTATCTGCTGGGGGCTGGGCCCCACAGTGCATCTGATAAGGTTGTTAAGTCAGCCGGAACACCTGCCCGGCCATCTGGCACTTTTATCCTCTAGACCGGGCCACACAGGCCTCTTTGCCCACCTCCTCAAAGGCAGTGGGCTGCAGGGGTCCCAGGACACCTGCTGGGGAGAATGAGTGTCCCCCAGCCACCCCACCGCCAAGCCCCAGGTGCTGCAAGGCAGCATTCTGGGTCCTCAGGTAACACTTCAGAAATCCTTCTTTATTTTTTTGAGAGATGGCTCCCTAGCAGCAATGTAGCAGGGGTGGGGGCCCCCGCTAAGGCTGCCTGGAGTTTAAACACAGGTTGATTCTGACCTCACTGAGATAACAGAGCAATGTAGTAGTGAGGCTGGAACAGGGAGAATTTAACCACGGCTTTTTCTTCTCTTCATATCAGACTAAATTGGAGCAGCAGCCCAGGGATCATTAATCATCTCAAATGCTGGGCTTCAGAATCTTATCTCCAGTATAATCACCTCATCCCCTCTTCTGGGCTCTGGAAACCATAGCATTTGAGGAGAAAGCACAGTACCTATGTTAGCAGATCTTGTTAGGCGCTATCTAGCAGCACGTGACCCGTTAATGTATATGTTTAGCTGTTCCAATTGAGTTCTGATTTGTGTTAAGAAAAACACAACTGGGGTTGCTGGAAATGTTCTGTATCCTGGCCCAGATGATGGTTATACATTTATAAAACACCATCAAGCTCTACACTTAAGTGTCCTTTATCCATGTTCTCTCTGTCTCTCTCGCTATCTCTTCCTTATCCTTCTATTAATAAGTTTTTTGAAGAAAAATAGGCCGTGTGCAGTGGCTCACGCCTGTAATCACAGCACTTTGGGAGGCCGAGGCAGGTGGATCTCCTGATGTCAGGAGTTTGAGACTAGGCTGGCCAACATGGTGAAACCCCGTCTCTACTAAAAATACAAAAAATTAGCCAAGTGTGGTGGAGCATGCCTGTAATCTCAGCTACTTCGGAGGCTGAGGCAGGAGAATTGCTTGAACCCGGCAGGTAGAGGTTGCAGTTAGCCGAGATCGTGCCATTGCACTCCAGCCTGGGCAACAGAGCGAGACTCTGTCTCAAAAATAAATAAATAAATCTATTTTTTAAAAACAAAAGGCACAATTGAGTGATACTAAACTCTCAAAAGTAGCAACACCACCCTTGCAACCAAGGGGCCTAGGCTGTGTGTGCGTCACTGTAACCTTAGTGGCTGGATCTCTGGCTGCTCAGGGCAAGGCAGTAGAAGGGGGAAAAGAGGTGGAATTTGGAGGAAAGCACATCTGTATTTGCATCTTGACCCTGCCATTTTCTATGTCACTGTGGACGAGTCATTTGGCCTCTCTGCTCCCCAGTTTCCTCACCTGCAAAGTGGGGATGATATTGCCTGTCTTACTGGTTGTTGCGATTAAGATGATTAAATGGCAACATCTGGCACATTGAAGGCACACACCAAATGGCAGTGCTCATTACCATGTAATAGCTGGCTTCTCCTGCTTCCCCTGTCCTCACCTTACCCTGTCACACCTAGCACCTGAAATAAACTTTGATGTTGCCTGGCACCCTGTCCTCTCCCTTCACCTCCCCTCACCCACCCCAGGATTTCCGCTCCTCATTTCTTTTTATTTTTTTTGAGACAGAGTCTTGCTCTGTCACCCAGGCTGGGGTGCGGTGGTGCAACCTCAGCTCACTGCAACCTCCGCCTCCTGGGTTCAAGCGATTCTCCTGCCTCAGCCTCCCGAGTAGCTGGGATTACAGGTGCCCACCACCATGCCTGGCTAATTTTTTGTATTTTTAGTAGAGATGGGGTTTCACCATGTTGGCCAGGCTGACCTCAAACTCCTGACCTCAGGTGATCCGCCCGCCTTGGCCTCCCAAAGTGCTGGGATTACAGGCGTGAGATACCACACCCGGCCAGCCTTGGCTCCTCATTTCAACTGCAGAAGTCCTGCTTATATGACTTGGCCTGACCCATGCAGGTGCTGCCACCCACTGCAGCAAGAGTAGGTCACTCCTTTCTAACATCCATCCTTTGAGATCATCCCAACCCTGACTCTGTGGTCAGTGCCCTCAGCAGCAGCATGGCCCCAACTGTACCTGTGGGCTCAGGAGACACTGGGTTGGAATTCCCATGGTGCATGCAAAGGACATCAACAGCTACTCAACACTTGCCACTGGGGACCAGGGAGTGGTGGTTCCTTAGAGCAGAGGGTATGGGTGGGTGCTATGGTCTGAATGTTTGTGTCCCCTCCAAAATGTATGTGTTGAAATCTAATCCCCAATGTGAAGGTAGGAGGTGAAGCCTTTGGGAGGTGATTAGGTCATGGAGGTGGAGCCCTCATGAATGAGATTAGTGCCCTTATAACGGAGGCCTCAGAGAGCTGCTATGCCTCTTCCACCATGTGAGGACACAGCTAGAAGGCTCCATTTATGAACCAGAAATTGAGCCCTCACCAGACACTGGATCTGCCAACACCTTGACTTTGGACTTCCAGCCTCCAGAACTGTGAGAAATCAGTTTCTATTATGTATAAGCTACCCAGCTTATGGTGTTTTGTTATAGCAGCCTGAACTATGACAGTGGGGCAGACCCAGTGCTATTTGTGTCCACTCAGGAATGCAGACCAGTCCAAGGTGAGGTGTTCCAGAGCCTGTCTGTGCTGGGTGGACACATCAGAGGCATGAGACTCACCCATGCACACCCTTTTCCAGCATGCATGCCTGTACTGCAGTGAATTTACTTTCCTTTATGAACCACCTACATTTGCAAAATCACTCCTTCCTAATGAGCCCACGTTTGCTTCCCTCTCATGCCAACCAGAAGCAGTCTAATCCCTTTTCTACACTCTCAGCATCCAAATATTTGAAGATATTCGTGTCCCTTGTCCTCGAAGGGAGCCTCGTGCAGGTTAAAGATCCCCTGTTCCTTCAATGGTAGCTCAGACATCAGCCTGAAAAGCAGCTCCTTGCTGTGGGCCCTGCACCATTTTCATCACGGAGGTGGCAAGAGATGAAATGACGATTTTGTCAGTGGGCGATTTTCAGACACAGACCCTTAGGAAAGCATGGCTATTATCACAGCAGCTCCCAAGTGCCCACAACAGGCCCTCCTCTGTGCACTTCACACCCTTTTACCATCCTGCACCAGCCCCCACTCCCCTCTCCGATTGATTCCCGGTTCACACTAATTAGGCTTTGCTTGGACTGTAACAGGAACGAGAGCTTTGCCATTTTCTTTAAGGAAGCCATGTGAAAGGCTGACCTGCTGGTGGTTGCCAGGCAACCCTGATGATCCTACAGGAGAGACAAACTCGAGAGCGACAGGGCAAGAAAGCCTAGTTAGCAGCTATTGAATATGATCTCTGCTGCACCAAGAGGTGTGAGAAAGTTCTAGTCAGATGTCTTTTTAAAGGGAGTGCGCATGTGTGTGCATTCGTGTGTGTGTGTCTGTGTGTTGGAGAGGCATAGTCAAAGGGAGCTGGGAAAGAATAAAGTAGTGTTATTATTTCAGGTAGAATAATAATAACATACTGTGGCAGGAAAATATATTGAAATATTATACTTTATCTGTTTGCCTTTAGTTTTCCCTCCTGCCCCCTCAATTCTAGTTGCTGGGCAGAAGTTGCCCTTCCTCACTTTGGAACAAGACAGAAAGCAGAAGCAGACAGTAGGCAAGGCCCTTCCCCTCTTTTGTAAAATGTTAAGCCACAGAACAAGGAATTGTGTGAGGAGTCTTGGAAGGTGGAGCAAGAGAAGTGTGAAGTTGGAGAAGCAGGATTTTCTGGGGACAATAAGGAGACAGAGGTCTCTGAGTCTCCATTGCTCAAAGACCTGGACATGGCCAGGCACAGTGGCTCACACCTGTAATCCCAGCACTTTGGGAGGCCAAGGCGGGTGGATCACCTGAGGTCGGGAGTTTGAGACCAGCCTGACCAACATGGAGAAACCCCATCTCTACCAAAAATACAAAATTAGCCAGGCGTGGTGGTGCATGCATGTAATCCCAGCTACTCGGGAGGCTGAGGCAGGAGAATTGCTTGAACCCGGGAGGCAGGGATTGCGATGAGTCGAGATCATGCCATTGCACTCCAGCCTGGGCAACAGGAGCGAAACTCTGTCACAAAAGAAAAAAGACCTGAACTGCCCAGCAGTGCTCCTAAGGGGATGGTGACATGTCAGATGGGTCTAAGCACCTAGGCTCCCAACCTCACCAAGTGTTCCTTAACCCACACACGACACAGTCCCCTGGTGAGAAGGAACTATGCAGAGGGCACAGTGCATAGTCCAGGGAAGTCTGTGGAGCTGGGGAGCTACAGAGGGGCCAGCCTGGTAGGTTGGCATCTGAAACAACCCAGAACATTTGCACAGCCCTGATGGCTGGGAGAGGAAACAATGACTTAGATTGCACTTCCTTCACATGGAGGCAAAACAGGGACACAGAATGGATTTCATGTAGAGCAACTCAAGCTTTTTAGGTGAACACTTTGCTAGTCTCTACCAAACTTTCAATGTCACCTCCCAATAATTTCATTTGTGTTAAGAGGTAACATTTATTGCACTTTTACCATATGCCAGCAGTGTTCTAAGAACTCCACTCTAACAACACAGGAGAGTATCTACTTCTCCTGCACGCTTACCATCACAGACTATTTTCAATCTTTAAAAATGTTGCCAATCCAACCGTTGTGAAAAATGGCATCTTATTGTTCTTTTAATGTACATAGCACTGAGTAATAAGTTTTCACTTGCATTTCTGTATCATTTGCATTTTAACAATGAGAATAAGTTCATGTATTAACTTGTATATAAAATTAAAGTATATCAAAATAATGGATCCATATGCACTTAAGAATACGGTCTTGAAATATGCGAAGCAAAAATCCATAGAAAAACAAAGTGAAATTAATAAATCCACAGTGGAAGATTTTTACCATATACATAAGATATCAATCAAGTAAGCAAAAATAAGTAAAGATTTGATAACACAATTAAACTTAATCATGTACAAAATATATTGCAATTGCATTATATATGTACTTATACATATATGTATATGTATACACACACAACGTATACATATAGACACATACATATATACATATATATTGCTATAGTCTGAATGTTTGCATCATCCCCAAATTTACATGTTGAAACTCCAACCCCCAATGTGACGATATTAGGAGGTGAAGTCTTTTGGAAGGCAAAACACTTATTACTGGGACTGGTGTTCTTAAAAAGAGGCCCCAAAAAGCCCCCAAAAAGCCCCCTTGCCCCTTCCACCATATGAGGACACAGTGAGAAGGCACCATCTATTCACTAGGAAGAGGGCCTTCACCAGACTCTGAATTTGTCAGCACCTTGATGTTGGACTTCCAGGCTCCAGAACTATGAGAAATAGATTTCTGTTGTTTTTAAGCTACCTAGTTTATGGTATTTTTAATAATAGCAGCCTGAATGGGCCATGACATAGACACAAAAAACCACGCATAAATCCAATAAAACTACGTGTATACACACAAACAGTATACAGAGAACACTCTCAAAAAGTTGATTGTACCATCTGCTACAAAGAAAAACTGGATAAATTATAAAAATCAAAAGTCATAAAGAGCTACAATCTCTGAACACCGTGAAATTTTTTTTTTTTTTTGAGACAGAGTCTCTTCCGTCACCCAGGCTGGAGTGCAGTGGCACCATCTGGGCTCACCGCAACCTCCGCCTCCTGGGTCCAAGCGATTCTGCTGCCTCGGCCTCCCAAGTAGCTGGGACTACAGGCACCCGCCACCATGCCCGGCTAATTTTTTGTAGTTTTAGTAGAGACAGGATTTCACCATGTTAGCCAGGATGGTCTTGATCTCCTGACCTCATGATCTAACCGCCTTGGCCTCCCAAAGTGCTGGGATTACAGGTGTGAGCCACCGCACCCACCAGAAATAATATTTAAGATTAGTAATTGTTTTAAAAGGATAACCAAATTATCACCTGCTTAGAAAAATAAAATATTTTCCTAAATAACTATTAGGTTAAAAGAAAATTTAAAAATAAAATTACACTTTACTTAGAAATGAAAGACAGTCATCTTTTCTGGTTTTCTTAGAGGGTAAAAGAAAGAAATGAAAGACAACCAATTTGTTTGAAGATGTAAGTGTAAACCAAACTAGGTAAATTATAGGTAGTTAAAAAAATAATCTTGGCACAGGAAAAGCCTTATTAAATATGACACAAACCTCAAAAATCCCAAACAACTGATACATTCAACCACCTAGGAATTTTTTCTTAATGTGGCAAAAACCACCATGGGTAAAGGCAAATGATAAACTAGGAAAAAATATTTACAACTTATATGACAGACAAAAGACTAATTTCCTAATATATAAAGATCTCCTATAAATCAATAAGAATATAGACTACCAGCCCAAGAGAAAACATGGCCAAAGGATATGAATAGAGAGTTCACAGAAAAGAGAATTTAGGGAAATGGCTCTTGGCTGAGTGTGGTGGCTCATGCCTATAATCCCAGCACAGTGGGAGGCCAAAACGAGAGGATCCCTTGAGCTCAGGAGTTTGAGAACAACCTGGGCAATATGATGAGACCCCATCTCTGTAAAAAAACAACAAAAACCATAGTGGCACATGCCTGGAGTCCCAACTACCCGGGAGGCTGAGGCAGGAGAATGTCTTGAACTCAGGAGTTTGAGGCTGCAGTGAGCTGTGATCTCACCACTGTACTCCAGCTTGGGAGACAAAGCGAGACCCTGTCTCTCAAAAAAGAAATGGCTCTTAAAACATATGACATGATATTCTATTGCACTCATAATAAAATTAATTGTAAAATAAAACTCACTGAGATATTGAGTGAAAGAAGAGGACACATGGATGATTATATTCATATAAAGTTTGGAATTTTAGCCAAACTAATTGAAGGTGTTAAAGGTTAGATGAGTGGTTATCTTGAGGGCCAGGGAGTGGGAGGATAAGGGAAAACTTCTGGGTGCTGGTAAATTCTATTTCTTTCTTTTTTTTTTTTTTTTGAGACAGAGCTTCACTCTTGTTGCCCAGGCTGGAATGCAATGGCACAATCTCCGCTCACTGCA
Source organism: Homo sapiens (assembly GCF_000001405.40). Classification (NCBI taxonomy): domain Eukaryota; kingdom Metazoa; phylum Chordata; class Mammalia; order Primates; family Hominidae; genus Homo; species Homo sapiens. Next base: position 88,578,719 of record NC_000015.10, read on the forward strand.
ACCTCCGCCTCCCAGGTTCAAGTGATTCTCCTGCCTCAGCCTCCTGAGCAGCTGGGATTACAGGCGCCTGCCACCACACCGGGCTAGGTAAATTCTATTTCTTGATTTGGGTGCTGTTATAGATTAATTTACTTTGTGAAAATGAATGGAGCTGTACACTTATTGGTCCATATTTCTTTCTTTCTTTTCTTTTTTTTTTTTTTTTTTTGAGATGGAGTCTCGCTCTGTCACCCAGGCTGGAGTGCAGTGGCATGATTTTGGCTCATGGCTGCAAGCTCCACCTCCCCAGGTTCATGCCATTCTCCCGCCTTAGCCTCCCGAGTAGCTGGGACTACAGGTGCCCGCCACCATGCCCAGCTAATTTTTTGTGTTTTTAGTAGAGATGGGGTTTCACTGTGTTAGCCAGGATGGTCTTGATCTCCTGACCTCGTGATCCGCCCGCCTCAGCCTCCCAAAGTACTGGGATTATAGGCATGAGCCCTGTGCCCGGCTGGTCCATATTTCTTTATGCTACATGTCAATAAAAATTACTTTAATATACTGCATTGAGATATTATTTTTCACTGATTAGGTTGGCAAGGAGCAAATCATCTGGTGGTGAATTTTGTTAATAAGGGGAAAAGGCTTTCCTCATGTATTACTGATGAGAGTGCAGATTAATAAAGCTTCAATAAGGAGATGACATTAACATCTGTAGAAATTACTAATGCACATACCCTCTGGCTGCATTTTCATCTCCAGGAACTTACCCTACAATAATACTTGCACCTTTACAATGACATAATGCATGCCCACGTCATTGAGAGACAAAACAATGGAAAGCTAATTAAACATCCATCAACAGGGAACTAATTAAATAGTGAGAGCAGTGGCTCATGCCTGTAATTAATCCCAGCAATTTAGGAGGCCAAGGTGGGAAGATCGCTTGAGCCCAGGAGTTCAAGACCAGACTCAGCAATATAGTGAGACCCCGTGTCTATTTCTGAAAAAAAAAAAAATTGACCTATGGTTTTGTATAGAGTTGGCATTAGAGGAAACTGAAAAACACACACATCAATTATCTCTACTATTCTTGCAACTTTCCATAACTCTAAAATTATTTAAGAATAAAAAGTGAAAGAGATTCGAAGCGGTGGCTCATGCCTGTAATCTCAGCACTTTGGCATGCCGAGGCGGGCAGATCACCTAAGGTCAGGAGTTCGAGACCAGCCTGGCCAACATGGTTAAACCCCGTTTATACTACAAATACAAAACATAGCCCAGCGCGGTGCCATGTGCCTGTAATCCCAGCGACTCGGGAGACTGAGACAGGAGAATCACTTGAACCCAGGAGGCGGAGGTTGCAGTGAGCCAAGATCATGCCACTGCACTCCAGCCTGGGCAACAGAGCGAGACTTCATCTAAAAAAATTAAAATAAAATAAAGCAAAAGAAGAGTTAACAGAAGGAAGGTTGGTGACACATTTAAAAAAGAGAGAGAGAGGAAAAGAGTCAGAAAAGCAAAATTAAACAATGCCTTAGGTACCTGTGTCTGGTGAACAATGTCCTACCTCCAGGAAATGACAGCCTACTAGGAGTTTTATCCAATTGTGGAGATGAGTGTTCAGGCTTCTTAATGTTGACTTCTTTATGGAAAGCTCCATGTCTTACACAAAATTTGCCAACCAACTATATAAACCATATACAGAGAGAAAATGTATTGAACTAAAAGATCTCTGTGCCTGGTCTCCTTGGAAGTTATATTTCTCATAAATCCATACATTTTCATCAGCTTCTAGGAGTTCAGCTAATGCGTGATCAAATCTGAGGTATGATCTGCTTGCCACCTGCCAAGAAATCAGGATTCTGAACCTACAATCACTGCAGTAATGACTATGAGGCTCGGGAAGCCTTTGGAGAGTCCCTTGCCCCATTCTTTCGGTATCCAACAAACATTTATCAGTGCATCCTGTGTGCCAGGCACAACTATGTGCTGAGAATATGACATTGAAAAAACATAAAATCCCTGACGTCATGCTGGCTTCAGGCCAGCTAGGAACACAGACAAGTAAACAGGGAAATTAAGCACCATATGACCCATTTTGAGGAAAATCCCACAGTGCTGTAGAAATATATGACAGGAAAACTGAACTCAGACCTAGAGGTGAGGGAGGGCAAAACCATCCCCCACCAAAGGCCTTTCCATTTGAGCCGCAACAGTTCTCCATTCCAAGAGTGGGAAAAAGGAATGGAGCTTGGAACAGGAATAAAAAATCCCAGCCTTTGTGAGATGTAAGGCCCAAAGCACTTTCCTCTAGAGAGCTAGATCCAACAACATTTCTGGGGGAGACACGATGTCAGGGCAGACTGGTTGTCTACAGGCAGGTCCAATAGAGACTGTAATGGTGGGAGGCTTTAGGAGTAGAGAATATACAATTCACCTCTACCAAGAAGAAATTGAAGGGGACGGTGGATAACAGAGCATGTCCTGTGGCTTCCAGATTGATTACCATTTTCCTCCACTACACCTCTAAGCACCGTCCTCCACCACTTAACTGACCTGCTTTGGTCTTTCCAACCCTCGACAGCACCTACATATTAGTCCCAAAGCTTTTGGATGTAGCACTGCTCTCCATGAATATTCCACAGGCAGAAGTTCCCCTGAGCTTTTGCAGGCACAATCTTCAGCATGTTGCCTTGGCCTGGGTATGGGCTTAAAACTCAGAAAATTCTTTTTGTTGTTGTTGTTGAGACGGAGTCTCGCTCTGTCGCCCAGGCTGGAGTGCAGTGGCGCGATCTGGGCTCACTGCAAGCTCTGCCTCCCGGGTTCATGCCATTCTCCTGCCTCAGCCTCCGGAGTAGCTGGGACTACAGGCGCCCGCCACCACGCCCGACTAATTTTTTGTGTTTTTAGTAGAGGCGGGGTTTCACCGTGTTAGCCAGGATGGTCTCGATCTCCTGACCTCGGGATCCTCCCGCCTCAGCCTCCCAAAGTGCTGGGATTACAGGCGTGAGCCACCACGCCTGGCCAAGACTCAGAAAATTCTGATTTGAATTGTCACTCTGCTGGTACCTAGCCTTGTGCTTTAGGCACACTTTCTTACCTCTCCAAGCCTCAGATGCTGGATCAGTAAAATTGGGGAAATAGTATGCACCTCATAGAGTGGTTGTGAGAATTCACTGGGATTTATTTAATAAACACTCATTAAACACCTATTATGACAATGTGCCAGGCACAGTAAATGCTCAATAAATGCTAGTTCCTTCCTAAGTTCAAAAGGACTTCCCATCCCTGTTAGGCTTCACTTTCTGGGCCCTACAGTCAGGGTTGGCTTCAAGGCATTTGACTTTTATAGACATACAGGGCCCATGCTTAGAAGGGCCCTACATTTGATTTAATTCTCTATTATTGCCATCTTGAAATTCTTAATATTTTTTAAACAAAGGGCCCCATTTTCATTTTGCTCCAGGTCTCACAAATCATGTAGCCTGTTTTTCCCATAACCACTCTGATAGTGGGTTATAAAGTACTATTACTTTATACAGTTATAAGGGACTATTACTATTAAACAAAGCTGGTAGCAATGATATTAGTCAAAATGAATTAAAAATAAATTAATAAAAAATTAATAGCCAAGAGGGGGTCACTGAAGTGTCTACCAGACACTTAAGGAAGAAATTATATAAATTCTCTAAAATCTCTCTCAGAAAATACAATCAGCAGGAGTACTTCCTAACTCATCTTTTGAGGCCAACATTACTCTGATACCAAAACCAGACATTATAAGAAAGAAAACTACATACCAATATCTCTTATGAACATAGATGCAAAAATCTTCAACAAATTGTTAACAAACTGAATCCAGCAATATATAATAAGAATTATACACCAAGACCAAATGGGATTTATCTCAGTTATGTAAGGCTAGTTCAACATTCAAAAATCAATTAATATAATCCACTTAATCAACAGGCTAAAGAAGGAAAACCACACAACCTTATCAACAGATGTAGAAAACACATTTGGCAAAATCCAACACCTATTTACATTAGCACCCCCGAAATGAAATATTTTGGTAAAATACTTTGATAAAATCTTTGGTAAAAACTCTCAGAAAAGTAGGAATAGAGGAGAAACTACCTCTACTGGTAAAGAACATCTACCAAAAAAACCTACAGCTGACATTCTACTTAATGAGAAGCAGAAACTTTCCCACTAACATTAGGAACAAGACAAGGATGTCAAGGATATGTAATCTATGTAAAGAAAACTGCAAAATGCTGAAAACATTAATTTTTAAAAAACTAAATTAATGGAGGCCAGGCACAGTGGTTCATGACTCTAATCCCATCACTTTGGTAGACCGAGATGGGCAGGCTTGAGCTCAGGAGTTCAAGAGCAGCCTGGGCAACATGTCGAAACCCCATCTCTACAAAAAATACAAAAATTAGCTGGGCGTGGTGGCATATGCCTATAGCCTCAGCTACTCGGGAGGCTGAGGTGGGAGGTTGGCTTGAGCCTGGGAGGCAGAGGTTACAGCGAGCCAAGATTGCAGTAGTGCACTGCAGCCTGGGTGACAGAGCCAGACCCTGGCTCAAAACAAACAAACAAAGCAAAACAAAACAACTAAATTGATGGAAAGATATTCCATGTTCATGGATAGGAAGACTCAATATTGCCAAGATTTTAATTCTTTCCAAGTAGATCTATAAATTCAATGCAATACCAATCAAAATCCCAGCAAGTTATTTTGTGCATATCAACAAACTAATTCTAAAATTTATATGAGGCCAGGTGCAGTGGCTCACACCTGTAATCCCAGCACTTTGGGAGGCCAAGGCAGGTGGATCATCTGAGGTCAGGAGTTCGAGACCAGCCTGGCCAACATGGCAAAACCTTGTCTCTACTGAAAATACAGAAATTAGCTGGGCTTGGTGGCAGGCACCTGTAATCCCAGCTACTCAAGAGGCTGAGGCAGGAGAATCGCTTCAACCCAGGAGGTGGAGGTTGCAGTGAGCTGAGATTATGCCATTGCACTCCAGCCTGGGCGACAAGAGCAAAACTCCATCTCAAAAAAATATTAAGTATTAAGTATTATAAGAAAAACCCCAAATCATATTTTTAAAAACCTTCCCCTGAACTGGTAGACAGCCAGGAGACCAAAGAATGGGTTGGAAAAGTCCAGCTTGGTGAGTAGAATGAGTTTATTAGGACTTACATGTGAGACATTCCTGGATGGCAGCAGGGCAGCTTCAGAGATTCATGCTGAATTCCCATCCCTAAGCTGCTTTTAAGCTAATTTTCTGGCTCTTTTCCTACTATGTGTGTGGGATGGGACTATTTTCCTTGGTAGGCTCTCAAACACTCTCCAAGATGTTTGGGTTCTCAGGCATACCTGCTCCTCAGCTGGGCACCATGGCCTTGGCTTATCACCTGGTCTTCAGGATTCAGGCAGCAGACATACACCCTTAAGTAACCTGGCCATAGTGGGGAAACTGTCACACTACATGGAGAAGCCAAAAACCCAGAATAACCAACAGAATCTCAAAGAATAAAGTTGGAGGACTGATACTGCCCAACTTCAAGACTTACTCTAACCCTGCAATAGTCGAGACAGTGTGGTGTGAGAGAAAGAATAAACAAATAGAACAATGGAACAGCATAGAGAGCCCCAAAATAGACCCACATATATTTAGTCAGCCGACCTTTGACAAAGGGGCAAAGGCAATACAGTGGAACAAAGATAGGCTTTTTGACAAATGGTGATGGAAAAAATGGGCATCCACTGCAAGAAAAAAAAAAAAGTGAATTTAGACACAGATCTTATACCCTTCACAAAAATTAACTCAAAATATATCACAGACCTAAATATAAAATGCAAAACTATAAAACTCCTAGAAGATAACATAGTAGAAAACCTTTATGACCTTGGACATGGTGAGGTCGTGGTGATGACTTTTTAGATACAACACCAAAGGCACAATTCATAAAATAATTCACTGTGGCCGGGCACAGTGGCTCACACCTGTAATCCCAGAACTTTGGGAGGCCAGGGCAGGTGGATCACGAGGTCAGGGATTTGAGGCCAGCCCAGCCAACATGGTGAAACTCCGTCTCCACCAAAGATATAAAAAATTAGCTGAGCATGGTGGCATGTGCCTATAATCCTGGCTACTCAGGAGGCTGAGGCAGAAGAATTGCTTGAACCCGGGAGCCAGAGGTTGCAGTGAGGTGAGATCGCACCATTGCACTCCAGCCTGGGCAACAGGGCGAGACTCCGTCTCAACAAAAAAAAAAAAGAAAAAGGAAAAGAAATAATTGATAAGCCAGGCTTCATTAAAATCAGACATTTCTCCTCTGTCTAAAACACTGTTAGAAAATGGGAAGACAAGCCACAGGCTGGGAGAAAATATTTTTAAAAGACACATCTGATAATGGACTGTTACTCAAAATAGACAAAGAACTCTTAAAACTCAACAACAAGAAAGCAAACTGATTAAAAAATGGGCCGAAGATCTGAACAGACAATTCACCAAAGCAGACATACAGATGCCCAATACGCACATGAAAAGATTCTCCATATCCTATGTCATTGGGAAAGTACCAGTTAACACAGCGAGATACCACTGCATGTCTACGAGAATGACCAAAATCCATAACATGGAAAAAACAAATGCTGGTGAGGACATGGAGCAACATGAACTCTCATTCATTACTGGTGGTAATACAAAATGGTACAGGCACTTTGGAAGATGGTTTGGCAGTTTCTTACAAAACTAAACATATTCTTACCATATATCCAGCAATCATTTTCCTTACTATTTACCCAAAGGAGTTGAAAACTGATGAACAGACAAAAACCGGCACTCAGATGTTTATAGCAGCTTTATTCATAATTGACAAAACTTGGAAGCAACCAAGATGTCCTTCAGTAGGTGAAAGGATAAATAAACTGTGGTAGATCCAGACAAGGGAATATTATTTTGTACCAAATAATCAGGTGCTAAGAGGTGAGATATCAAGCTATGAAAAGACACAGAGAAACTTTAAATGTGTTTTACTAAGTGAAAGAAGCCAATCTGGAAAGGCTGTAGCCTTTGTATGTAGCCTATTGTAAGATTCCAACTGTATGACATTCTAGAAAAAGCAAAAATAGGAAGACAGCAAAAAGATCAGTGGTTGCCAGGAGTTAGGAAGGGAGGGGGGATGAATAGGTGGAGTACAGATTTTTAAGGCCAAGAAACTACTCTGTAGGGTACTATGATGGTGGATATATGCCACTATACATTTGTCCAAATCCATAAAATGTATAACATCGAGAGTGAACCCTAATGCAAACTGTGGACTTTGGGTGATAATGATGTGTCCATGTAGGTTCATCAATGTAACAAATGTATCACTCTGGTGTACGATGTTGACAATGGGGGAAGGCTGTGCATGTGTTGGAGTAGGGAGTGTAATGGAAACTCTACTTTCTGCTCAAGTTTGCTGTGAACCTAAAACTGTTCTAAGAAAAAAATAAAGTCTATTTAAAAGGAAAAAAACAAATTTACTGTACATCTACTGCTAATTCTGAATTGTTGAATGGGGGTACTGTCAGGATAGTCACAGCAGGAGTCATCATCTCATCTTCTAAAAAAGAGGAAGCAGAAGGGACAGATCCAACTGTGTGTCCCTGTGTGCATATTTGACATAAATTGCAAACCTCCATTTCACCCCTTGGCCTCCTGCAGTCAAAAACTCATGAGGGTCACTCAGCCCCAGAGCCTGGAGCAACAAGACATTTTTTACAGAGAGGAAATGTTATTTTAGAATGAAATCCTAGCCAAGGCTGCTGGGGGCTGTAAAAACAAACCCATAAAACCAAGGGTCCTTGGAGCACTTAACAAGATTTCCACCTGATGATAGGAAAACAATTTTATTGAGACTTCCCCCAGGAAATTGGTTTCTCCCAGTCAAGTTGAAAGGCTGAGATCATCTTAGTAATGACAGTGAGGACTAGAAGCAGTCCATCTTCTTTTGACAGTGCTGCATCTCCTGTGCATATTAACTAACTCATCAATTACCTTACCCAGGGTAGGAGAAGCTGAGCCGCTCACAGGCGAGCCTCACAGGGCAGGTCTTCTTGTCCCAGGAATGTCAAGAGCTCGTCTTTATCTTCTCTCAAATGATTTGCTTCAGTGACTAACTGATGACTCCTACAAGCTGTTTTCAGTTGCTGCCTCTGGCATTTTCCTCTGAAAGGCTAGTCTGATGGATAGTATGGTAGACTGCCAAAACAGTGATTTATGTTCACGGTGAAACCAGGACCTTCTTGCTCCCCCTTCCTGGGCAAGTGGCCTTTATCTACATGGTTTAGAACACCCTGGGGAAATATGAAGAGGAAATTGAGTACCTTTTCTTTATCTATAACCTAATTCAAAATTAGTGTGAGCTGTAGTTGTAAATCTCAGAATGATCTGTTCTTAGCTCATTATTTCTTTTTTTTTGCCATTTCATTTTACATGATAACAAAAGTATCATGCATTAAGAAGAATTTATAGTTTGCAAAGTGCTCTCTTGTGTATGAGTATATTTGATTCTCACCAAAACCCTATCAGATAGAAAAAGAAGGGTCACCATTCCCCTTTGAGTAAGGAGAACCTACGCGACAGAGGTTAAAGGACTCCCCAGTATCAAACATCAATTTCTACTGTCAAACAAAACAAAGATTGTATTTACTTTTTAGAATAAATTATTAAATATTTCAAAGATATATAAAATACAGAAAATATGAAAAGAGAGCCACATGTCTACTTCTCAGTTTTAACAACTATTAATGTATTTGCTTCAGATGCTTTTTAGCAAGAGATAAAACAATACAAATACAGTTGTCAGTCCAGGCGCAGTAGTTCACATCTGTAATCCCAGCCCTTTGGAGGCTGAGGTGGGCGGATCACTTGAAGTCAGGAATTCGAGACCAGCCTGGCCAACATGAGGAAACCCTGTCTCTACTAAAAATACAAAAATTAGCCGGGTGTTGTGGTGCATGCCTGTAATCCCAGCTACTCAGGAGGCTGAAGCAGGAGAATCGCTTGAATCCAGGAGGCAGAGATTGCAGTGACCTGAGATCGTGCCACTGCACTCCAGCCTGGGTGACAGAGTGAGACTCCATCTCAAAATAAATAAATAAATATAAAAAAATAAAACAATACAAATACAGTTGTCACCATCCCATTTCTTCCCTTCCCTGCCAGAGGTGATTACTTTCCTGAAGTTGATACATATCCTTCAATCCATGTTATTAAACATTTATTTCAGGCTGGGTGAAGTGGCTCACGTCTATAATCCTACGACTTTGGGAGGCTGAGGGAGGAGGATTGCTTGAGCCCCGCAGTTCCAGACCAGCCTGGGTAACATAGCAAGACCTTGTCTCTACAAAAAAATAAAAAAATTGAGGTGGAGGATCGCTTGATTCTAGGAGGTTGAGGCTGCAATGAGCCATTATCGAGTCACTGCACTCCCTCCTGGATGACAGAGAGACTCTGCCTCAAAACAACAACCACAACAACAAAAAGCCAAACAAAAATAACAACAAATTTACTTCATCTGTATTTACCTATAACAATCTGTATTAGTATCATGCTTTACTTTGTTTTACTTTTGTGTATTCACATGATAGTTTGTGAATCTTTTTATAACTTTTTTTTTCTCACCGAACATAAGTTTCTAGATGTCCAACTGGATACATGTAGAGCTGCAAGTTAATTGATCAATATATTTTTTCACTGAATTATAGTATTTTATTACATAAATAGACCACAGTTTATTTATCCATTTTCTTATCAATGGATATTTAAGCTGTTTCTACATCTTACTATTTCCAAGTAGTGCTGCAGTGAACATTCTTGTTCATGGCAAATTATTCGTGGTGACAATGTCTAAAAACTTCTTTAGGGTATGTACCTAGAAAAAGAGTTGTTGGGTCGGTTGAAGGGTATGCACACCTTGAAATTTATTAGATATTACCAAATTATTCTCCAAAGTGATGGTAGCAATTTATACTTCCAATAGGGATGTCTAAGAATTCCTGTTTCCTCACGTTTTTACTAACAACTGGTGAAAATTCAACACTTGGTGAATTATTAGTCCTGTTAATTTTCCCAACTTGATGGGTGTGATTGGTTGTTATAATTGTTATAATTTGCATTGCTCAGAATGGCCATAATTAAAAAATAAAAAAACAGAAGATGTTGGTGTGGATGTACTGATCAGGGAATACTTCTACACTGCTGGTGGGAATGTAAATTAGTACAGTCACTATGGAAACCGTGTGGAGATTCCTTAAAGAACTAAAAGTAGAACTACCATTTGATCCAGCAATCCCACTGCTGGGTATCTACCCAGAGGAAAAGAAGTCATTATACAAAAAAGATACTTGCACACGCATGTTTATAGCAGCACAATTCACAATTGCATAATCATGGAACCAACCCAAATGCCCATCAATCAACAAATGGATAAAGAAACTGTGAGATTTATATATATATATATATATATATATATATATATATATATAAATGGAATACTACTCAGCCATAAAAAGGAATGAATTAACAGCATTTGCAGTGACCTGGATGAGATTGGAAACTATTATTCTAAGTGAAGTCACTCAGGAATGGAAAACCAAACATCGTATATTCTCACTGATATGTGAGAGCTTAGCTATGAGGATGCAAAGGCATAAGGATACAATGGACTATGGGGACTTGTGGGGGAAGGGTGGGAGGGGGCAAGGGATAAAAGACTACAAATAGGGGGCCAGGTGTGGTGGCTCACGCTTGTAATCCCAACACTTTGGGAGGCCAAGGCAGGAGGATCACCTGAGGATGGGAGTTCAAGACCAGCCTGACCAACATGGAGAAACCCCATCCCTACTAAAAATACAAAATTAGCCAGGTGTGTTAGAATATGCCTGTAATCCCAGCTACTCAGGAGGCTGAGGCAGGAGAATCGCTTGAACCCGGGAGGCAGATGTTGCGGTGAGCCGAGAAGGCGCCGTTGCACTCCAGCCTGGGCAACGAGCAAAACTCTGTCTCAAAAAAAAAAAAAAAATAGGGTGCAGTGTATACTGATTGGGTGATGGGTGCACCAAAATCTCACAAATCACCACTAAAGAACTTACTCATGTAACCAAACACCACCTATACTCCAATAACCTATGAAAAAAAGGTTAAAAATAATAATAATTTGCATTGTCCTCATGATTAGTCAAATTGCGCTTCAATCACTAGTTTATTGGCCGCTTGAGTGTCCTTTTCTGTGGATTTCTTGGTCACAACCTTTCAATTTTCAATATTTTTTGTCTTTTTCTTATTAATTTATATAAGTGCTTTAAGTATTCTAGATATTAATTCTTCATTGATCGTATGCTTGTAAATATCTTTTCCATCCTAAACTTGATTTTACTTAATTTATGTCTTTTGCCTCTGCTTAAATTTTTAAGTTTAATGTTAATTAAATTTATCTTTTTATTTGTACTTTTTGTGTCGTGTTTAAGAAATAATTCATTGTCCTGAGGTCATAAAAATATTCTCCTATATATTTTCCTGTTCTAAAAGTTTTTTACATTTTGTCTTTACTCCAAAATGTGAATTTATTTTTGAGTATGGTATGAGGTTAGAAACTTACTTTATTTTCCATGTAAATGTTTCAATTGCCAAACGTCCATAGACCAGTTTTCCACCAGACATGGGTCTGTTTCTGGGCTTTTCATTGTACTGTGTTAGTCTATTTTACTATCTCTATGGCTATTCTACACAGTATTAATTGCTATAGTTTTATGATAAACCTTGTTATTTGGTAGGGAGATCTCTCTACTTCCTTCTCATGATTCTCTTGGCTATTCTTAGCTCTTTGTCCTCATATAATGTTTAAAATCAATTTGTCAAGTTCACATACACAATAAAAGCCCTGGCTTTCTATTAGAATTGCAATAAATTTATAAATTCATTTAGGACAATTAACATTGTAATGTAATTGCCATCATCCACAAATATGCAATTCCTCTCCATTTATGTAGATCTTCTTTTACGGCCTTCAATAAAATTTTAGAATCTCCTCAATCAGTAGCAAATCATTGTTAGATTTATTCCTAGTTACCTAAGAGTTCTTTTCTTTTCTTTTTTTCTTTTTTTTTTTTTTTTTTTGACAGAGCCTCACTCTGTCGCCCAGGCTGGAGTGCAGCTGTGCCACCTCAACCTCCCAAGTAACTGGAACCAAAGGCATTCATCACCATGCCCAGCTAATTTTTTTGTTTGTTTGTTCGTGGTTTTTTTCTTTTTTTTTTTTTCCATGGAAACGGGGTCCCACCATGTTGCCCAGGCTAATCATAAACTCCTGAGCTCAAGCAATCTTCCTGCCTCGGCCTCCCAAACAGCTGGGATTATAGGCATGAGCCACTACCCTCGGCCTTTTTCTTGATATTTTAAGTTAATTTATTAAGTTATCTTTTTAATTAGGTGTTGCTCAGGAACGCTATTGATTTTTTCAAATTGAGAAATAATTCACATAGTATAAAATTCACCCTTTTAAATTATACAATTTAGTGGTTTTTAATATATTCACAAGGTTGGCCAACCACCACTGCTAATTCTAGTACATTTTTATCATCCCGAAAAGAAATCCTGTAACCCGGAGCTGTCACTGCCCATGTGCTCTTCATCCTGGTCCCTGAAAACCACTTGTCTTCTTCCTATAGATTTGACTATTCTGATAAATAATTTCACATAAATGAAACCATACAGTATGTGGCCTTTTGCATCTGGCTTCTTTCTCTTAGTATAATACTTTCAGGTTTCATCCATGTTGCAGCATGTATCAGAACTTCATTCCTTTTCATGGCTGAGTAATATTTCATTATCAGGATAAATATTTGCTTGTCCATGTATTAGCTGAGGGACATTTGAATTGTTTCCACTTTGGGCTATTATAAATAATGTTGCTATGAACATTTGTGTACAAATTTTTGTATAATATATATTTTCAGTTATCTTGGGTGTGTACCTAAGGTGGAATAGTTGGGTCATATGGCAACTCTAGTTAACATTTCCAAAGTGGCTACACCATTTTACATTCTCACCAGTAATAACTGAGGGTTCCAGTTTCTCCACAACTTCACCCACACTTGTTATTGTCCTTTTTAAAAAACTATAGCCATTCCAGTGGGTTTATCTCACTGTGGATTTGATTTGCATTCCCTAATTAATAGTGATGTTGACCATCTTTTCATGTACTTGTTGGCCATTTGTGTATCTTATTTGGAGAACTGTATATTCAAATCCTTTGCCCATTTTAATTGGATTGTCTTTGTGTTATTGAGTTGTAAGAGTTCTTTTTTAGTCCTGGATCCTAGGCCCTCATCAGATATATGATTTTCAAATATTTTTTCCCATTCTGTAAGTTATCTATTCATTTTTCTTGGTAGTGTCCTCAAAACACGAAAGTTTTTAATTTTTATTAATTCCAATATTTTCTTCGGTTGCTTGAGCTTTGAAAGTTATGTTTAAGAAACCATTGCATAACCCAAGTTTACAAGGACTTACACCTATGTTTTATTCTAAGAGTTCTGTGATTTTAGCTCTTATATTTAGGTCTTTGATCCATTTTGAGTAAATTTGTGTATATGTGTGAACTACGGGTCCAAGTTTATTCTTTTGCATATGAATGTCCAGTTGTCCAGCACTATTTGTTGAAGAGACTCGTCTTCTCCCACCAGATTGAATTGGTATCCTTGTTGAAAATCAATTAACTATAGATGTATGAGTTTATCTCAGGGCCCTCAATTTTATTCTATTGATCTATATGTTTACCCTCCTGCCAGTACCACACAGTCTTGATTACTCTAGTTTTGCGTTAAGTTTTGAAATTATGAAGTTTGAGTCCTTCAACTTTATTTTTCATTTTAGATAGTGTTTTGGCTACTCTGGGTCTCTTGCATTTCTATATGAATTTTAGGACCAGCATGTCAATTTGTGCAACAACAAAACAAGAAGCAGCAGGAATTTTGATATTGTGTTGGGATTTAGGATTGTATCCACTCTACATGTCAATCTAGGGAGTATTGTCATCTTAACAATAAGTTTGCCAATACATGAACATGGGATATGTTTCCATTTATTTAGATCTTTTGCTGAGACACTAACGACATCTAAAAGGAAGAAAGAATTTATTTCAGCAATGCTTTGTAGTTTTCAATGTACAAGTCTTGCATGCGCTGCTTTCATTAAATTTGTTCCTAAGTATTTTATTCTTTTGATGCTATTACAAATGGAATTGTTTTCTTGATTTCACTTTCAGATTATCCATTGCTAGTGTATAGAACTAGAACTGATTTGTATATTTTGTATGTCCTGCAAACATGCTGAATTTATTAGCTCTAATAGTTTCTTTTGTGGATTCCTTAGTATTTTCTATATACAAAACCATGTCATCTGCAAACAGAAATTTTACTTTTTCCTTTCAAATCCTTTTCTTTCTTTTCCTTGACTAACAACCCTGGACAGAACCTCCACTACAATATTGAATAGAAGTGATGAGAATGTACATTCTCTTCTTGTTCCTGATCTAAGGGGAAACTTTTCCTTTCACCATTGGAAATATGTTGTTAGTTATGGATTTTTTATAGATGCCTTATATCAGGTTTAGGAAGTGCCTTTCTATTCCTACATTGTTGAGGGTTTTTTATTTTTCTTTTTCTTTTCTTTCTTTTTTCTCGAGACAAAGTCTGACTCTGTCACCCAGGCTGGAGTGCAGTGGTGTAAGCATGGTTCATTGCAGCCTGGACCTCCTGGGCTCAAAAAATCCTCCTGCCTCAGCTTCCAGAGTTGCTGGAACTACAGGCATGTGCCACCACACATGGCTAATTTTTTAAATTTTTTACAGAGGCAGGATCTCGTCATGTTGCCCAGGCTGGTCTTTAACTCCTGGGCTCAAGCAATACTCCCACCTCACCCTCCCAAAGTGCTAGGATTACAGGTGTGAGTCACCACTTCCTGCCTATTGAGTGTTTTTATCATGAAAAGGTGTTAGATTTTGTCAAAAGCTGTTTCTTGTCTGGATTGAGTTGATTGTCTGGATTTTGTCATTTATTCTATTAATATGAAGTGTTATTTTGATTGATTTCCAGATTTTAAAACAACCTTTCATTCCTGGGATAAATCGCTTTTGATCATGATGTATAATCCTTTTGATATATTTATGGATTTAGTTTTCTAATGTTTCAGTAAGGACTTTTTCATTTATATTCATAAAGGCTGTTGGTCTGTAGTATTCTCCTCTTGTGATATCTTTGTCTGGTTTTGATATCAGGGTAATACTCAACTCAGAGAAAGAGTTTGGAAATGTTTCCTACTGTTTTATTTTTTGGAAGAGTTCATGAAAGATTGGTGTTAATTCTTTTTGAAATGTTTGGTACAATGCAACAGCGAAAACATCTGGCCTTGTGCGTTTCTTTGTGGGAAGTTTTTTGATTACTGATTCAATCTCTTTACTTGTTATGATCTGTTCAGATTTTCTATTTCTTCTTGAGTCAGTTTCAGTAATTTTTGTGTTTCTAGGAATCTGCCAATTGTATGTAAGTTATCTGTCAGTGTTCGATTATTCATATTCATATTCTCCTATAATGTTATTTACTTTGTAAGATTGGTAGTAATGTTTCCTCTTTCACTCCTGATTCTTAAGTCATTTGAATCTTCTGTTTTTTTCTTCATCAATCTAACTAGAAGGCTTAATTTCAGTGTCATTGATTTTCTCAATTGTGCTATTGATTTTTGAACACTGATACTGTCAAAAAACTTATTACCTTATAGCATTTATCTGTAGGTTTTCTTACATTTTCTAGTAAAAGCACATTATCTGAAATGACAACTTGGTATCTTCATAGTCACATCCAGTAGCATGTTGATTACAGTTACATTCCTGACTTCAAAGAGAATGTTTCTCATATTCCAATGTTAAGTGTGATACTAACTGTGAATAGATATCTTTTATTAAGGAGAGGCAATTTCCTTTCATTCCAGATTGGCCAAAGGTTTTATCTTAAATCAATATTGAATCTTAGCAAATGCTTTCTAGATTTATTTAGTGCTTTTATTTTTTCTTTTAATCTATTAAAGTCAAGCTAATTTACATGAATAGATTTCTTTTTTCTCTTTTTCTTTTTCTTTTTTTGAGATGGAGTTTCGCTCTTGTTGACCAGGCTGGAGTGCAATGGCATGATCTCAGCTCACCGCAACCTCCCCCTCCCGGGTTCAAGCAATTCTCCTGCCTCAGCCTCCGAGTAACTGGGATTACAGGTGCCTGCCACCATGCCTGGCTAGTTTTTGGTTTTTAGTAGAGATGGGGTTTCTCCATGTTGGTCAGGCTGGTCTCGAACTCCTGACCTCAGGTGATCCACCTGCCTCGACCTCCCAAAGCTGGGATTACAGGCGTGAGCCACCATGCCCGGCCGAATAGATTTCTAAATGTTAAAAAGTCTTAGAATCCTGGCCGGGCGCGGTGGCTCACCCCTATAATCCCAGCACTTTTGGAGGCTGAGGCAGGTGGATCACGAGGTCAGGAGATGGAGACCATCCTGGCTAACGCGGTGAAACCCCGTTTCTACTAAAAATACAAAAAAATTAGCCGGGCGTGGTGGCTGGCGCCTGTAGTCCCAGCTACTCTGGAGGCTGAGGCAGGAGAATGGCGTGAACCCAGGAGGCGGAGCTTACAGTGAGCCGAGATCGCGCCACTGCAGTCCAGCCTGGGCGACAGAGCAAGACTCCATCCCCAAAAAAAAAAAAAAAAATTCTTAGAATCCTAGGATAAGGCTTATTTGCTTATCATGTGAATTTAGCTTACTAAAAACTTATTTAGGATGATTTACATTTATATTTATAAATAGATTGGCCTATACATTTCTCTCCAGTATTTGTTGTGGTTTGTTGTTACCGTTTCTTTTTTCTTCTTCGTTTTCTTTTTTCTTTTCTTTTTTTTTTTTTTTTTTTGCATTGTAACATAAAGATAATCTGTTCCTCAAAGTTATGGTAGAATTTGTGTATAAAACAATCTGAAACGACGATTTGTGTATTTTAGGACAGAGGGTGCTACATTTTTATTAAGATTTACCAATTTAATTGTTATAGGTCTATTAAGCTTGTCTATATCTGCCAGGTGCAGTGGCTCACGCTTATAATTCCAACACTTTGGGAAGTCGAGGCGGGCAGATTGCTTGAGCCCAGCAGTTCAAGACAAGCCTTGACAACATGGGGAAACTCCATCTCTACTAAACATTAGCCTGGTGTGGTGGCCTGCACCTGCAGTCCCAGCTACTCGGAAGGCTAAGGTGGAAAGATTGCTTGAACCCGGGAGGCAGAGGTTGCAGTCAGCTGAGATAGTGCAACTCTTTCTTTCTTTCTCCCTTCCCTTCCTTTCCCTTCCTTTCCCTTCCCTTTCCTTCCGTTCCCTCCCCTCCCCTCTCCTCCCCTCCCCTCCTTTCCCCTCCCCCCTCCCTCCCCTCCTCTTCCCTTCCCTCCTTCCCTCCCTCCTCCCTTCCTTCCTTCTTTCAGAGATTGGGTGGGGCGGGGGGGGTGGTTCTCACTATGTTCCCCAGGCTGGTCTTGAACTCCTGGCCTCAAGCAGTCCTCCCTTCTAGGCCTCCCAAAGTGCTGGGATTACAGGTGTGAGCCACTGTGCCTCTGGCCTTTGTTGGCTCTTTGTTTTCTATTTTGTTAATCTTTATTGCTAACATTATTATATCTTCTTTTCTACTTTCTTGGAGTTTATGTTGTCTTTTTAGAAATTAACTGAATGATTAGCTTTGTCCTTACTTAAAGTCTTTCTTTTCTAATATATACATTTAACACTACAAATTTATCTCAAAGTACTATTTTTGCTGTATTCTGCAAGTTTGGGTAAATAGTGTTTTCATTGTTTTTTAGTTTGAACTATTTTTACATTTCCATTTTCAATTTTGTTTTATTCTTAAGTATTTAGAAAGGTGGGGTTTTATTTTGTTTGTTAGTTTTTCCTTAGTCATTTCTTTGTTTTATTTGTGGTTTGTATTTTAGCTTTCAAATATATGGGTTCCTTTGGTTATTTTTTTAATTTAATTTTTATTTTTTTTGTTTCCCACACAACACTGATGTACCTTTGGTTATATTTTCAGTCTTGAGTTCTGCTTTTAATATTGATTTCTGATTTTATCTAAATGATATTGATTCTTCGGTATTTTTTGAGATTTTCTTTATGAGGTAGTATTTAACAATTTTTATAAATATTCCACATGTGCCTGAAAAGGATATGCATTCTTTATTTGTTGAGTGCAGATGCACACACATACACACACAGATAGAGGGATGGGGAATCAATTTACTGATTGTATAGTTAAAATTGTCTGTATTCATACAGATACTCAAAATATCTTAATGCTTCATCCGTCAGTTTCTGATACAGGTGTACTAAAATATCTCAATATAATTAATTGTAGGTAGTTTTGGTTTATTTCTCTATACAAACCTGCCTTTTTTTCTTTTTCTTTCTTTCTGTCTTTCTTTTTTTTTCTTTTTTTTTTTTTTTTGGTAGAGATGGGGTCTCACTATGTTGCCCAGGCTGGTTTTGAACTCCTGGTCTCAAGCAATCCTCCCACCTAAACCTTCCAAAGTGTAGGAATTACAGGTACAAGGCATTGCACCCAGCCTTGTTTTTTATATTTTGATGCTGTGTTGTTCAATGTATTCAGGCTCAGAATTGTTATACCTTCCTGGCCAATTACTCTCTTTATCATTAATATCATTATAACATGTTCCTATTTAATGCTTTTCACTTTAAATTCTACATTAACTATTATACAAGGTTGGTTTGGGGTAGTATTGTCTAGAATATTTTTTCTTAACTCTTGACGTTCAAGGTCTGTGTCCATTTGATTATGTATATCTTTCACAATTGGGGTATAGCTGAATTTTTAAATGTCCAAAAATCTCTGTCTTTTGACTGAAACATAGTACATTTAAATTTATTATGATTAGTAATATTAAAATTATTTCTGCCATTGCATTTGTTTTCTATTTACCTTGGGCTTTTTCTTCTTCTTTTCTTTTTCCTTTCCAAACTTCTACTTGATTAATCTCATTTTCTTCATTCTTTTTCTCTACTAATTTGGAAGTTAAACTTATAATTTTTATCATTTTAGCTGTTTTCTTAGCATATTAACATGTACACCTGATTAAGCACAATATAGTTAATATTTGTAAAACATACTGGAATAAAACAAACAAAATTTAGAACTGAAGCTCTACAAGCTATTTTTAATGTGGTCTATACAATATTGGTTCACCAAAATGTATTGATATTTATTGTCTCATTTTTGACTCCACCTTCCAAATTAGACATCAGTATTATTGTATTTTATAGTCGGTGCTCTTGGGATTTATCAACATATTTTCCCATTTCTATTCTCACTGTTGCTCCTTTTATCTCATTATTTCCTTTCGAGTTCAATTTCATTGCTATCAAAGCCCATCCTTTTGTGTCTTACAATGAAAAAGAGTGTTGAACTTCCTATAGTTTTAGGTCATTTAAAATAGTCTATATTTCAAATTCACTCTGAATAGTAGTTCAATTAGGTACGGAGTTCTGTGTTGACATTTCACAGCAGCATTTTGAAGATGTCATCTTGATCTTAATTTTAGCTAGTGAAAACCAGTAACAATTCATCTATTGTTTCTTATTAGGAAATATTAAATGAGATAGTCGATATCTCATAAGACTGGAATCATACAGCATTTGTCTTTTTGTGACTGGCTTATTTCAGTTAGCATAATGTCCACAATGTTCATTCTTATTTTTACCTGTGTCAGAATTTCCTTCCTTTATAAGGCTGAGTAATATTCCATTATATATGCATACCACATTTTGCTTATTCATTCAGCCATCAGTAGACACTTGAGCTGCTGCCCTCTTTTTTCTTTCTCTCTTTCTTTCCTTCCTTTCTTTCTTTCTTCCTTCCTTTCTTTCTTCCCTTCTTTCTATTTATTTATTTATTTATATATTTTATTTATTTATATTTTGTCAGGGTCTCACTCTGTTGCCCAGGCTGGAGCACAGTGACATCATCTTGGCTCACTGCAACCTCTGCCTCCTAGATTCAAGTGATCCTCCCACCTCAGCCTCCTAAGTAGCTGGGACTACAGGCACATCCCACCACACCCAGCTAATTTTTATATTTTTTTGGTAGAGGCAGGGTTCCTCCATGTTGCCCAGGCTGGTCTCAAACTCCTGGGCTCAAGCAATCTGCCTGCCTGGGCCTCCCAAAGTGCTGAGATTAGAGGTGTGAGCTGTCGTACCTGGCCTCCATCTTTTGGCTATTGTGAATGGTGGTATATAAACCTGGGTCTACAAACATAGAATCACCTCCTTTCTAACTTTAAAGGCCGGGCGCGGTGGCTCACGCCTGTAATACCAGCACTGTGGGAGGCCGAGGCAGGTGGATCACAAGGGCAGGAGATCAAGACCATCCTGGCTAACATGGTGAAACCCCGTCTCTACTAAAAATACAAAAAAAAATTAGCCGGGCATGGTGGCGGGCGCCTGTAGTCCCAGCTATTCGGGAGGCTGAGGCAGGAGAATGGCATGAACCCGGGAGGCGGAGCTGGCAGTGAGCCGAGATCGTGCCACTGCACTCCAGCCTGGAGGACAGAGCGAGACTCTGTCTCAAAAAAAAAAAAAAAAGAATAGCTCTGTGTCACTTATAGAATTGCCCGGGTTACTTTGGCCATTAAAAGTATCACAGTAACCAAGATATTTATAATTCTCTATTATTGGATTTTAATTTCCTAGAGGTAAGCAGAGTCAAAATTCTAAAAGAACTTCTTTCTGAACTGGTGTCACTATATATTCACTATTGCCAAAATTATGTTTTCTTTTTCAAGAACAGCCTTCTCTGGTCTTCAGATATGACAAAATCCATCAGGTACTTGGTTGGTCCTTGAAATTAAATTTTAAAACTCTCTTGGTAATCTGGCAAAGGTTTAGAAATATTTGCTACACAATTGGGATGAAAGATGAGAGATCCAAGGTTTCTTAGAATGCCCGACGTGTGTGGGAGGTGAGTGTGATGACTTCATTCACTACACTGTTCTCTAATTCCACATTTGAGGTGTGTGGTTGTTGGCACAAGACAGGTGCCTCCTTAGCCATCCATAGCAAGCAAGTCTTTTAGCACCTGTAATCCAGTCTCCTTTCCAGAAAAGCTTCATTCTAAAATGTCAACCCATCTAGAAACTCAGTAATGTCTCCAAGATGCCTGACCCTCACAGAATCTTTTGACCTCTGGTCCATGGTTTGTCAATTCCAAGAAATGAATGCATGAGAATATTGAGGAAACTGGCAGTGTCAAGGTTTATCTTTATTTGGCTAATGGCGATGACAGTAAGGTCGGCTGAGCTGCCAATCTGTCCTCCAATTAAGTTCTAATCTGAAGAAGAATTGTTGTCCATGATTAAACTCCCACTGTCCTATGAAAAGGGAGTGTCTAGAAGTCAAATTCAAGATGGATCCACCACTTATCAGCTGTGTGGCTTCTGGCACGGCACCTAAAGAATAAACAAACCTGGAGAAAATAACACCTATCTCACAGAGCTGTGATAATTAAATTTAAGGGGGGTTTTTTGGTAGTAGTTGCTATAAAGTTATGTAAAACATTGTGTTGGAGAGCATTGAAAAATGTGAAGTACTATTAAAAATGTAAAAGAAATATTATTATTGTTTTGATTATTATTTGAGGTGTGGAAGGAAGTGGCCAGAAAGTAGATACCAGGAACAGAAGCAAGCTTATTGAGGAGGAGGACAAGGGCAGCTGGGCTGATGATGTATCTGAGTTGAGTAAAAACCAAATGCCTCTTATCAGCTCTTTACAGATAAGGTCAAACTCTCTCATGGTCACCTAATACCCCAGGCAAGATCTGCAGCAACCTGCACAGGTCTGAGACCCAGGCTCCACACCTGCTCTGATTATGCCCATCTGGAACAGTGCCAGATAAGGAATAGATGCCTAATAAATACCATCTACTCCCATATTTGTATCATACTATATTTTAATTATAGAAACTACCTAATCATGTTTCAGAAAATTTGGAAAACATGATAAAAAGAAAACATTTAAAAGCCACCTGTGATCTCTTTAACAGAAACTTTATCATACTTTGATGTACTTCTGTTCTATTTTTTCTATATATGTGCTTTCTAAAGACCTTACTTTAATGATATCTGTAAAGACAGTTCTATGTTCTGCTAATTTCCTTCCTTAACATTATGAGTATTTTCTTGGCTCATGTTTCAGCAAAAACATTAATTTTAGAGTTGGTAGAATATTCTATCCATTCAACAGATGATGTGCCAGTCTCCTATTGTTGGATATTATGTTGCTTCCATTTTAAAAAATATTAAACAATGTGACAATGGACACCTTTATGTATCTAACATTTTCTGTATTGAATATTATTTTATTTATTTGAGACAGAGTTTCCCTCTTGTTGCCCAGGCTGGAGTACAATGGTGCCATCTTGGCTCACTGCAACCTCTGCCTCTCGGGTTCAAGTGATTCTCCTGCCTCAGCCTCCCAAGTAGCTGGGATTACAGGCATGTGCCACCACGCCCTGCTAATTTTGTATTTTTAGTAGAGACGGGGTTTCTCCATGTTGGTCAGGCTGGTCTTGAACTCCCGACCTCAGGTGATCCATCTGTCTCGGCCTTCCAAAGTGCTGTGATTACAGGCGTGAGCCACTGCAGCAGCCCAAGATTATTTTATTAAGATATCCCAAAGAAAAACTGGTCCAAAGGGTGTGAACGTATTTGTGTTTATGACTTTTTTTTTTTTTTTTTTTTTTTGTAGAGACAGGGTCCTGCTGTATTGCCCAGGCTGGTCACTATGACCCTTGATACAACTTGCAAAATTGCTTTCCAGTGAATTTAACCAACTTGCAACCTCCACAGGGTATGAGTACTTATTTCACCATACCCTCTCCAACACTGGGAAGTAGGTTTTTAAATTTTTTGTTAATTCAGTATGTGGAAAATGGTACTCCACATTTTATAATTTACATTTCTATTTTAAATAAAGCAGAAAAATTCCAATTGTTTGTTTAACTTTGTTAAATTTTCTGTTTAACTGTTCATTTATTTTTTGTTTTCGGGGTGCGTGTGTGTGTGTGTGTGTGTGTGTGTGTGTGTGTGTGTAAAAATAAGTTCTTTGTTGCCCAGGCTGGAGTGTAGTGGCACAATCATAGCTCACTACAGCCTTGAACTCCTTGGCCCAAGTGATCCTCCCACCTCAGCCTTCTGAGTAGCTGGGACTACAGGTGCATACCACCATACCCAGCTAACTCTCTTAACTATTTACTAAATAATTTTGATGACTCATATAAGGGAGACAGTGGGTCTTTCCAGCAGAAGGAGCACTGGGAACTCAAGGTGAATTAAACAGTCTGAGCTCTGCTTCTTTATCTATAAAATGGTCAGCTTCTAGAATCAAATGAGATACATCATGTAAAATACTCAGTGAAAAATTAGAAGTGCTTTATAAAGATAACGAATAGAGCATTAATAGTATTACTTACACTCCCTCTAGGGCCTAGAGCGCTAAGATTCACAAATGGAACGGTTGCAAGAAAAATGTCCTGTGTTAAGGAGCCAGTCAGGCCAAAGACCAAACAGATTTTCACCAAGAGATAAATGCAGAATCTTTTCTCTGCCCTAATTTTTCTGAACAGGCTAAAACAATCCATGTTGGCCAAGATTTGGAGTTGATCTAGTACAAAGTTACCCTGGCTTTCAACCAAAATTTTTCAGACACTTGGCTAAGAGAGCAAGTGCATATAAATAAGAACCTGTTTTTCCTTAGGGGGAAATCTACTGCTAATGGAAAAAGAAGATACCCCACTTCTGGCCGTGCGCAGTGGCTCATGCCTGTAATCCCAGCACTTTTGGGAGGCCGAAGCAGGCGGATCACAAAGTCAGGAGATCAAGACCATCCTGGGTAACACAGTGAAGCCCTATCTATACTAAAAATACAAAAAATTAGCCGGGCGTGGTGGCGGGCGCCTGTAGTCCCAGCTACTCTGGAGGCTGAGGCAGGAGAATCTCGTGAACCCGGGAGGCGGAGCTTGCAATGAGCCGAGATCGCACCACTGCACTCCAGCCTGGGCGACAGAGTGAGACTCCGTCTCAAAAAAAAAAAAAAAAAAAAGGATAACCCCGCCTTCCATATTTTTGCATGTACAGTATTCAAAATGCACATTTAATGAATGAACTCGTAAATGTGACTGTGTGACAGAGTATGCATAAGACTCAACTATATGTCCCTGTTGGTGGTGCTTTTTACTTGTATGTTGGTTGGCTCGTTGCATTCACAAGAATGTATTTTACAGCTGTATTCAGACTGCCAACCAGAAAATGCAAAACAGTGTTATGTTTACATAATAATGGGTGAGTCTGAGAGTAATTAAAATGTTTTCTTCTGTTATTTTTCCACATATTTATGAATAAGATATTATTCCTTACATTTAAAAATGTAAAGAAAGTTCCATGTGATCCAATATCTGAGTGATAAATGAAAAATATGATTTTTAAAATGTTTCTCAAATACCTGCATATTTTGAAATATGAAAATGAAAAATAAAAACTCACCAGTCTGACTAGGAGGAAATATCCTGCTGCCTGTGTTGGCTGGATGTGGGCAGCACAGATATTTGTGTGTCCGTCCAGGGTTGGGCCTGCAGGGAACCAACCGGAGACAAAAAACAATTTTACTTTCCTTTTTTTTTTTTTTTTTTTTGAGATGGGGGTCTCACTGTGTTGCCTAGGCTGGTCTTGAACTCCTGGGCTCAAATGATCTTCCCACCTCCACCTCTTAAAATGCCTGGATTACAGGCGTGAGACACTGCTCTTGGCCACACTTTCCTCTTTACTATAGGAAAACAACGTAAAAGGATAAGATTGATGATAAATGGGCTTGGTGATATTGACAAAAAGGGGAAGAGGGGCTACTTTTGCCTGGACCCCAGCCCTGTGTACACTGGTCAGGGCTTCTCCCTGCATGCAGAATGCCAGCCCCTATTCAAGAGACATGGAAAGGCCATGACATGGATATTGTTTTAGAGAGAGGGAGAGAGAGATGGAAAACCCAGATTTCTCTGTGAACTCTTCCAATCTTTTTGACAAGTACTTCAAATTTTTAAAATACTGTGGGAGCCTCACAAACATTTTTGTGTCCTGTCTGGTTCGTTGGTCACCAGTTTGCGCCCCCTAGATGCGCACTGGATCAGTAGTGGGTTTGTCATGTTCTGAAGCTCTCAAGGCTGCTTTGAAGCCTCAGTTTGTCGTGTGTGCAGGCGAGGACCCGGGCAGGTGGGTGAGTCCCGCTTGGGCGCTGCCTGGGTGTGCTCTGCTCCAGCATGCGTCGGTCGAGAGTGAGTGAGAATACGTCTGTGAGCGGTCAGGTGAACCGGGTCTGACCTGCCCAGGTAAGGTGGTGGAAGAATAGGAAATGGCCCTGTGAAAAAAAAATTTCTGCTAATTGGTCTCCAGACGCCTGCAGTCTCCCCCAGCCTCTTCTCTGGGACCAGGCAGCCACCCACCTGCTATGACCAGCCCGGGGAGGGGACGGGACTGGCTCTGGTGTCTCTTCTGGTCCGGGCACAACTGGATTCAGCACTAATGACGGACTCTACCCCAGCGGAGCGCTGGACCCTGGCAGGAGTCGCAGGCTGCCCGCTGCTGGCCCGCGGACCGGCACCCCCTCCCCCAAAGCTGTTGCCATGGCCACAGGGGACATTTGATGTGAAGCGCGGCTCCCCCCTCTCCACTCGCTTTCTCCGCTCGCCTTCAGGATGACGTCATGAACATCCGTGGCCCTGACAGGCCACCCGTGGGTTGGTCTCAGCTTTAAAGCAGCTGTTCTCCTCTGGCCCGGCAGCCGCGGCGACTGTGTTTGCACCCGGCGGACCATGCCAGGACTACGGACCCGGACAGGACTGATGGCCTCAGAGAGGCAAGTATTCAAGGGGCACTTCACAAACAGCTTCCTCAAACCCCACCCCCTCCCCCGCACTGCGCTGCTACTTGCACTGCGGCTCCTGGGGGGAAGCAAAGTACCGGCAGCTGGGTGGTGAGGGGCTTTCTTCCAGAAAGAAACGGAGAGCAAGTGGTCTTCCTCCCTAGCCGCGGCGACCCATGCCAGGTAAAAATCCCAGCCGAGGTCCCCGGTCCCGTCCCCTCCTCCAGGTCAAGGGCTCGGGACTGGAGAAGCAGCCAACTGGAGCTGATATTCGGGAAGCTAAGCCTGAGGCTGCTCTGGAGGGCCGGAGAAGCGAGCGGCCAGGCTTGGCACCCGCCAAATGTGCCTTGCCAAAATGAAGAGGAAGGAAGGCGACTCCGGAGCCCAGCAGGTGAGCGCTCCTACGGGATGCTGGGCAGGCTAGAGGTGTGGGGGCGTCTGGTTCCAGTACCTGCCCGGGGCGACGCGGAAACCCAGCTTGCAGTTTGTTTCGCTCGGTCCCGCGCCCAGTAGGAGAAAGACGGCCCCACAGCCTCGCGGGAGCCGGCTCTCGCAACCCAGCCGCCCCAAGCCCGCCGTCGCCCCTCCTCCCGCGCTTCTCGCCCCTGATTCTAGATGCAGCTGACTTGTTGCATGCAGAAGAGCAGCTGGGTTCGGCGTTCCAAGCCTCTCCTCTTTGCTTTGCCTGCCACCAGATCTGAGCGCCAGGCTGGCCAGCACCCAGAGAGCCCAGAGCCGCAGGAAAAAATGTGAAAAGTACCAGGAGACCACTGGGTAATCGCCCCAGTGCAAAGGGCCTTTCTTCCTACCCACCGCAATTGCAGCAAATAACTCCAGGGAGGGGAATCAGAGGCGCCGGGGATTGCGCCCTGGGAGAGCCCTATCTGCTGAAAGAGAGCGCCTAATGCCGTTACTTCCCAGTGTAGCCTTTCCACTCGGCAGACCAAGCGCCTCTCCTTCGAGTCGCTACCCGCTTGGAGTCGGCTCAGAATCAGGCTGCTAAAGGTCCCTGGAGCCCCTCCCCCAGCGAATCCGAGCCTGCAGCTTCAGCACCAGAGGCTGGACAGCGCCCCGGCCCTAGGGTGCCCATGGTCGGTGCCTGCGCACGGCTCGGCCTCCCAGCCCACGCCACTTGCGCTCGCGGCCCCTCAGACCCCACGCGGAGGAGGTCAGGAGGTGACACAGGTTCGCGGAAGAAAGCGGGACTCATCTTCCTCATTTCTCCAGGGATTTAGGTGTGGGATTCTAGGAGAGCATTCTCTCTCGCTCTGGCCACGACCAGTGGAAAAACTTGGCGCCAAATTTAGGCAGTGGTGCGGGGAGCAGAGGCACGATTGCAGGCGGTGAGCAAAGGGGCAAGCGGGACAGAGGATCTACTGTGAGCCCCAGGCTCTGGTGTTCCGTGAAAAATCGCCACATTTAAATCCTGCGCTCCCCCGTGCTCCCTCTCGCTCTCTCCCCCTTCCTTTTTCCCTTCCTTCCTTCCTCCCCGCGCTCTCTGTATGCCTTAATAGGAGTGAGTGAAAGGGAAAGAGTGGGGTGGAGGGAGAAGATATTGAAGCCGAGGTAAGAAGCACATTTTATCTAGGTCTCAAAACTCAAGCGTGGATGAAATCTGTTCAAAAAGAACATCAAGGTACGCGTTTTTTTACCCAAAGGAGCCCAAAGTGACCTTTGTATGAGGAGCAAAGATTATTGTTTGGCCAAGAAGGGGAAAGATAGCGGAGGGAGAGGCGCTATCACAAAAGGGCTAACGGAGGTGGAGAAGGAAGGGAAAGGACTTGGCACTAGCATGCTTACCAGGCAACCAGTCGCAGCACCTGCCTCCTGTTGCCTTGGTTACGGTGGGTGGCGGGGCTTTGGCCACTGATAATCAGTGAGCACCTTGACTATTTAAAATATCTCCTGGGGAGCCCCTGCCTTGTCTGGGCTAGGTGAGAGGCACATCGATCCCGCGTAAGGCCCCGTCTGGGGAAATCCTGGAAGATGTTTGTTTTTTGTTTGTTTGTTTTTATTTTAAGTAAAGGCGCATAGCAGAGCAACTTACCTTTCCACCACTACAGTCATCCCCTCCCCCCTCCACCCCATGGCTTCATTTCTCCAGGATTTACAATTTGGGCTTTTATATTTTTCATTTAGTCCTTTATACTGAAGGAGCTGAGTTCCTATCCCCACCCTCTCTTTTTCCCCCTTAAAATGAGAAAAAAAAATTGCTTTTCCTGGATGTACAGGAGGGAGACAAGGAAATTGTCCAGGGGTGTCTACTGTAGAGAGAAACTTTCTCCCTGGTTTGATAGTCATCCCTGCCCCACTAAACCACTCCCCTCAGGGGAGAGAGGGCTGAATTCTGGATTACCCCCACTTCTCACCTTGCCCCATAGACCACATAGAAAGCACAGGTAGAGGGAAACGTGTCTCCCTTAGCAGATGGACACTAGCATCACTCTCATTTGATTCCTCAAGATTCTCTTCTCTTCTTCCTCCCCAGCATCGCCTTCATAATTAGCAAATACAGCACCTAAAGCTTCTAATCCTCTGAGTTTTTCTGTTTCCCTTGATTGACAAACATTGACTCCACTTTCACCTGTCAGCCTTGCCCTGCCTATGTCCATTAGAAACATCTGGGTAGGAAATTATTTTACTCATAATTTTCCAAAGGCAGCTGTAACATTCTCAGAATGATTTGAGAGGAAATCGCTAGCAAGTTACCAGAACAGCCTGTGCTCTGTGCACTGTTTCATCTCAAATAAGTCTAAGTGCCATGAACGTTCTCTTTCCCGAAAAACAGCAACAATAACAACAACAAAAAGAAGTTTGTTTTAAACTGAGATATTACTTGACAACACGGGGTTGGAGAACATTTCTGTTTCAGGCAGGAACTGTGATATCTTTATCTGTGATGCCCTGAACCATAAACACACAGGTCTTTTCTTTTCTCCTCTTGTTCTCTTCTTTTCTCTCCATTTCCTTCATTTATTATTAATATAAGAATTTTTATTCATTATAATTTCAGCATAAGTTTAAAAGGTCAAAAATTCGCTCGGTGAACTGACTTGATAGTTTTGCGGGTATTTACATTAAAATGCTTTTAAAATGCTTTTCTCTCCCATGTTACTATAGAAACTTCCCTTTAGACCAGACCAGACAGCTGGTCTGCTTTTTGTACTTTTCTTCCCAAAGAAGTGCTTTCCTTTATGAATTGTCCGGGGCAGCTATCATTGATCACATCAGTAATGTCCCATAGCAACAGTTGTGTGGTTTTTTTTAATTATTATTCACTTTCTGCTTATTTTCTTTATGGACAAAGGGTCTACTTTCAAGAAGATAACTGAGCTCTTATTGGCTGGAAAGGAAGAAGCATTCTTTCATTGGTTGGTGTGTATTGCCTTGTCAACCAATAAGAGGATGCCATTTATCCTTTTCTGACTAGCTGAGTGAGCAGGGTACACAGAAGGATTGAATCTGCCTTAGTTCCATCCAGTAGCAAAGGACAGAACTCAGAGTCCTGGACTCAGGATCTGGAATTGACTTTGGCTAATCCAGATTGCACTGACTTGCAAGGATGACATTTTTTACCTACCTATTCGCAGCTTACTTCAACATACCTGCCTTATACATTGTCCTATGGCTTTTTTCCCCCTTCATTTTAGGAGATACTGTGATCATCTTTCCAAGTCAGTGCAGGTTATTGTTACCAGCACACTGAGGGTCCAGAGAATTTTGTGATTTCCCCTAAAAATAGATAATTGGTCCTCATTATTAGAGATTTGGTGAAAACTTTTGGAGATGAAGATGGAAAGCTAGAAGTCGGAAGAACTGCATTGCTTGTGATGCAGAATGGATATCTCAGCTTGTGGATTCACTCTACTCAGCTCTCAGCTTTGGTGTTTTGTGTTTGGTGTTTGGTGTCCTCTTCACTTTGATTTTTATTTGTCTGTTTTTCCACTTTCATTCTTCAGAGCTGCGCTTTTGGCCTGAATTTTCAGTGACAAATAGAAAAGCTGAATGGATGGAGACAATGACTCTTTAATTCAATGTAAGAGCTGACTCATCGCTTCCCAGGAAGACTTGTTGCAGGTAGGTGATGGTTATCCTGGAACTGGAGATTATCCCAGTCCTTTGTTGCACTGGCAATGGGCAGGTCTGTTTATTTTTCTCTTTTTTCCTGCACCAAATAGTCCTACTCAGGGATGCTGGCATTGGTCCCCACTTCCCTAAAAGAGGGGAAGTCAAAGTTCTTTCCCTTTCAGGACAGAAACTCTCTGATAACAGCCCGGAAGAAGTCTTAATGTGAGTACAGACCACTTCAGTCAGTCTTTTTTTGGTTCTTGGCAGGAGGGGATACTGGGAATGGATAGATGCCTGATCATCACGGTGCTATCAAGAGCCATATTCTTTATTGGCCCCATCTGTGCCAGAGTTCAGCGGTACCATGAGCCCTAGTGCTAGACTATTAGCCCTTCAATATTAGGAGCTATGTCTTGTACCCCTTTGATTCCCTCAAACTCAGTTGTGCTTAAAGTAGGGCTGAACAAATGTTTGAACTAAATCCTACTGGCTAGTATTAAGACAAATAGCTTATCTTCTTCTTTATGAGAATGGTAGCTCTAGACCTGGACCCTCCCCCTCCAAATCAAAAGCTTCATATTCCCTAGCCCTCTTCACAAAAGATAAATTAAGGCTCAGTTAATTGTTACCATGGTAACATGGAGTGGCCACATTGAGGATCCCCATCATCCATTACTGTCATGAGGTAAAAGAGAGGAGGGGTTTGGGATCATTGTCATGGAGGAAACCATGGAAACAAGCGTTGCTAAGGGAACAGCTCTAAATTCAGAGGAAAGAAATTAGAAGTGGGGAGTGGAAGTTGGTGGGCTCAAGGGCAGGTCATTTTTTCAAAATATATTTCTTTGAGACTACAGCAGCCTCTTTTATTGCTTGCATCTTCTCCCAATTCAGATAGAGCCCAGAATTAAAGAATTTTGAAAACTAGGGCCACAATCAGTTCAAATTCATCTTCATTGGATCTGTAAGGAAAAAGCCAATGAAAATGGATTTACCCTGTTCACACCTCACAATCCTACTCTGTCTCTGAACTCTGCTTCTTTGCCAACCAGTTTCATTTATCACGGGCCAGGCTGTGCGCGAGGCACTTGGAAGAATAATGAGTGAGAGTCCCTGCTCTCATAGTGAGCTTCTAGCAGGGCAGTGGTTTGGGTGGTGGCTTTAGGGCCAGGGTTGCTCATGTAAGCTAGATCAGTCAGTCCTGCAAGCTGACATCCAGAGAGATGCTGTGGTTCTCTCCAAACTCTCTTTGTGGTGCATTTTAGCTTGTCTATTACTTCTCAAAGTTTATTTGCCAGGTCCCTAAGAAAGGCCTGTTTTTCCTAGAAATACCTAGGGTGCTAAGCTCTCCTATTAACCAAGGGGTTACCTTAGTTAGCATTGTTCTCTAATGGTACCCTCAGGTCCTTGTCTCTAAAACAATTCAAGGTTGAAGGACTAACCCTCCTCTCAACAGTGGCAAAGAGGCACGGGGCTATTTTTTTTTTTTTTTTGTAAAAGAAATTAAAGACCACACATCCATCTCTGTTTCTTGATAGATTAAAGGATGGGGAAAGGAGGTCTCAGTTTTCTACAGCTGGGAATTTCAGAGCCAGCACCTCACTGCGGGGTAGACTGAAGAGGGTCATAAAGAGCCTCTGGGGGAGGAACACCTCTCCCTTACATCTTCCACAAAAGAACTTCTTGGTTTTTCTCAGACCCATGGCAGAGATGTGCCCTGTCTCAGGCTGACAGCTGGAAGGGGCTGGGACTCAGAGCTAGGTATTGCCAGTCTTCTCCATGACTCCCCCCACTCCTCCTGCTCCTGAGCGTCTCCATCACCAGGCAAGCCCCCACCCCCATTCTGGATAGAGAGAATAAACCCAAGGATGGAAGGGTGGGCTAAAGAGGAAGTGCTCACAATTAAAAAGAGAAAGAATTAAAAGCAGCACCAATAGGGAAGGGTAATTATCCTTCAGTTGCTGCAGAAATACAATTAGGGCCATGCTCTCTGAGCCGCCAGGATATTGTGGCTTTTGCTAATTAAGGAGCGGATGTGTCCTGCCAGCGCAATTAGAGGCTGGCCCAGGCAGCAGGGGCTTTGCCTCTCCTCCACCAGTGCCACACTGCAAGGGAAATTAACCAGGGAGCCCAGCGCTGTGCCTGCAGGGAGGGGATGACTGGGCCAGGATTCCACCAGCCTCCTGTCCACAACCATTTCCCCTTTTCCTCTTCCTGCTCTGCTTACCCCAGCACCACCACTCTGACTTCATTCTGAAGCTTCCAGGGCTCAGTAACCACAGGAAGAATTTTCACCATGGGCCATGCCCATAGGCTTCCAGAAGGGGGAGGCACCAGTAGAGAGGGGTCACCATTTCCAAGCTCTAGTTTCTCTTCTGCATGGTGGTTCAATGCTTTATGATTAGTAAAGGAAAGAGAGAAATGAGCCACTTGCCTGCTTCTCTTTAAAAATAATTCCCCTGTTTGTAAAGGAAATATGCTCAAATTGGGTGCAGTGGCTCACGTCTATAATCCCAGCACTTTGAGAGGCTGAGGCAGGAGGATCACTTGAGCCCAGGAGTTC
The DNA here is from genome assembly GCF_000001405.40 of Homo sapiens. NCBI lineage: Eukaryota > Metazoa > Chordata > Mammalia > Primates > Hominidae > Homo > Homo sapiens. Next base: position 88,611,394 of record NC_000015.10, read on the forward strand.
AAGACCAGCCTGGGCAATATACTGAGACCTTGTCTTTACTAAAAAAAAAAAAAAAAAAAAAAAAATTAGCTGTAGTCTCAGCTACTAGGGAGGCTGAGGTGGAAGAATCACTTGAACACTCGAGTCTGGAAGGTTGAAGCTGGAGTGAGCTGTGATTGCACCACTGCACTACAGCCTGGGTGACAGAGCAAGACCCTGTCTCACCAAAACAAAACAAAACAACTGTGTCCATTATAGAAAGTAGAACACTCCAGAAAAAAGGGAAAAGTAAGAAAAAATAATTTCTCCAGGGAATTCTGAGGTGAGGAGAGGTGTTCAAAGATGAACTTAGTAATAGGAGCGGAGACAACGCCTCGCCTGAAGGAGCATCCAGACCGCTGACCTGGTGGCGAGGGGAGGGGGGTGGTCCTCGAACGCCTTGCAGAACTGGCCTGGATACAGAGTGGACCGGCTGGCCCCATCTGGAAGACTAGTGATTTTGTTGTTGTCTTACTGCGCTCAACAACAAATCCCAGTCTACCTAATGGTGCCAGCCATCGCAGCGGGGTGCAGGAAATGGGGGCAGCCCCCCTTTTTGGCTATCCTTCCACGTGTTCTTTTTTGTATCTTTTGTGTTTCCTAGAAAACATCTCAGGTCACCACCCTAAACACCCATCGGCAGACTCTTCCAGAAACATGGACAAACTATGGTGTGAGCAGGGAAGTGGGGCAGGGTCTCTGTTTTCAGGGAGCAGTGGACTGCTTCCATACCACTACCTGAAGGGCAGGGGGAGAAAAACCCTCCTTAATTACTAATTCCCCCAACAATCACTTTGGGGCACCTATAATGGAGGCACCTTGTGACTCCACATCCTGGGGCTCAGGGCCTCATTGTCTGTGGCCCGACAGCCACAGTGTATGCGGGCACCGAGAGGTATGCACTGGAGACCGAGGTTCCCGGATGTTCAGTGTACCTGGCAGCAGGGGGGACACACCTGACCTCGGAGCTTGTCTGGTGCCTGCTCCACAGCTGAGGGAGTGGACTTGTGTGTATGGAATTTCTTGGTCCCAGTACCTGCCTCTGTGCTGCTACATCCAGAGGTGTGGCCAAGGGAAAAAAGCCCAGTGCTTGGGGACCATCCCCCACTGTGGCAGGAATACAATTAGAATTAGTGATCAGAAAAAGCATTTCCCAGCCTTTTATTTATTTATTTATTTATTTATTTATTTATTTATTTATTTATTTTTGAGACAGAGTCTCACTCTGTCCCAGGCTGGAGTGCAGTGGTACAGTCCTGACTCACTGCAACCTCCACCTCCTGGGTTCAAGTGATTCTTGTGCCTCAGCCTCCCGACTAGCTGGGATTACAGGTGAATGCCACCAACTCAGCTAATTTTTTGTATTTTTGGTAGAGAGAGGGGTTTGCTATGTTGGTCAGGCTGGTCTCGAACTCGTGACGTCAGGGGATCTGCCCACCTCGGTCTCCCAAAGTGCTGGGAGTATAGGCATCAGCCACCTTGCCTGGCCTCCCAGCCTTTCTGCCTGGGATCCCTCTGCCTGGGGGGTACCTTGCCCTAAGGTGAGCACCAAGTTACAGTGATGACACTTTCAGTGGAGATTAATTTTCAAGCAACAAATCCAAATGCCCTCCCTATTCCTAAGTATATTCCCACCCTCCTCCATCCATACAGCAGAGGAGACTAAAGCATATTACAAACTAAAGTTGGGGGTTGGGGATCGTACTCATTTAGGGAATGCTAAAAATGCAACCATTAGCTGAGCTCATTCTACCTCTTCCGGTTGCTAGCTGTGTGACCTCTGGCAAGGCACTTGACCTCTCTGAACCAAGTCAGCCCTTCACTTCTACCCAGAGACTTTGGCTGCCTCTGCTTCTGCTGCTCCCTATCCTACAAACTGGCTCTCTTCTTCTGCACTTCCAGTCTTAAATTTCCCTTTACTCCTAACCCTGCCTGAAGCCAGTGGGAAGCCAGTCCTATTAGAAATCTCATTTACACTTCAGAAGTCTGCAAATTGGTGTCACTCAGCAGGTATCTGTCCTTCACAGCGGGAGAGAAGCCCAGATTGGGCAGGAAGGGCAGAGCTGGAGAACAGGAGAGGAGGGGAGTTGAGTCTCTCCTGGGCAGCCCTCAGCCTCTGGGGCTGGTTTGGAGATGGAACGGGGAGAGATTGTGTCTCAGTGAAACAAGCATCTCGGGGGGGGATGTGGGGTGCATTCCTGATTTGAGGGATGGATATGACAGCCTTTGTTAAGTGGTGGGGGGAGTCCTGGCTCTGAAGTCAAACATGTGCCAGTTTCAATCTTGGCTCCACTGCTTACGAGCTGTGTGACTTTGAGTCAGTCACTTAACATCTCTGAGTCTCAGATTCCTCAACTGTGAAACAGAATTGATCACATCTACCTTGCTAGGTTATTACGATAAGTAGGCAAGTGAAGTGTCATAATATAAAATAGCATGGGTATATACCCAATATTGGTCTCTTCTGCCTTTTCTTTCATAGTTTTCATGGTTGTCCTCTTCACCAGCCTTGTGCACCCACAAATCTGCCATCCTGAAATAGGAAAAAATGGAAACCACCATCTTTCTATTAGTCTCCCCTATCATGTAGGAATTTAATCCTATTTAAATATGTATCCTTCCCCTTCCAGATCAGTATCTTGCCCATTTCAGGGGACTCAATATATATTGAAAGAATGAATATAGACCAAGTCCCTCCCCACTTTAAAAATGCTGAAATCAGGGCCTGCAGAGGTTGTGACTTATCTCTTGGTCACTCAGCAAAATAGACAATTTACTACTGTTTTTATTTATTTATTTATTTATTGAAATGGGGTCTGGCTTTGTCACCCAGTCTAGAGTGCAGTGGTGTGATCTCGGCTCAATGCAACCCCAACCTCCTGGGCTCAAGCAATTCTCCTCCCTCAGCCTCCCGATCAGATGAGACTACAGACACCCACCACCACACCCTGGCTAATTACAGTATTTTTTGTAGAGACGGAGTCTCCCTGTGTTGCTCAGGCTGGTCTTAAACTCCTGGGCTCAGGTGATCCTACCACCTTGGCTTCCCCAAATGCTGAAATTACAGCGTAAGTCACAGCGCCTGGCCCTAACTTACTACTTTTTAAGGTAACTTTATTGGAGTCTCAACACAAAAACCTCGGCGATACAAGGGTCACGGCATCTGGCCCGTCGCCTTAACTGCATCAACCGGGTTTACGAAACAGCCTGATTTCCAGCCCCACCCATCGCAACTGCAGCTGTCAGGTTTCCCGGCTCACGTTTCCCTGGATGAGCAGAGAGGCAGCGTCCTCTGCTGGAAGCTTTAGGTAACTCCACTTTAGCGGCAATTGTCAGTCTCAGCGACAAACTACTAACACCTGGGGAGATTTAAAAACCTTCCTGTTCAGGCCCCACCCCAGACCAGTTAAATCAGAATCTTGGGGTGGGGTGTGACCCAAGCGTCTGTGGTGCTTTTTTGTTGTTGTTGTTGTTGTTGTTTTGTTTTGTTTTGTGAGATGGAGTCTCGCTCTGTCGCCCAGGCTGGAGTGCAGTGGCGCGATCTCGGGTTCACGCCATTCTACCGCCTCAGCCTCCCGAACAGCTGGGACTACAGGCGCCCGCCACCACGCCCGGCCAAATTTTTTTGTATTTTTAGTAGAGAAAGGGTTTCACTGTGCTAGCCAGATGGTCTCGATCTGCTGACCTCGTGATCCGCCCACCTCGGCCTCCCAAAGTGCTGGGATTACAGGCGTGAGCCACCGCGCCCGGCCTCGTCTGTGTTTTTTCAAGTTCAGCATGTTGAGTCAAGGCTGGGGACCACTGAATGAAGGATTAATTTTATATGTGAGGGAACTCTAGTCTAGAATGGAGCAAGGAACGGCAGAGAATAAAACTCCCCTCGATCAAATCCCTCCAGTCTTCCATTAAAAAATTAGCCGTGTGACACTTAGCCTGGGCCTGAGAATCCCGGACATTCTCAGGAGTTGGGGGAGGGTACAAAGGTACCTTAATTGTCTTGGTGCCAGGCTGTGTCCTGGTAGGTCCAAAGTCCAGCTGCTGCTGGATCAAGAGAGCTAAGAGGCGGGGAGCTGCGTGCATAAAACAAGTACCTTATTCACATTTAGCACTGGGAATGTCGTCAGCTTCATACTCTCCAACACAATGGATCCTAAACTTCGGCATGCCTCAGGATTAGCTATTTCATCAGCTTGTTAAAATGCTGGGCCCCACCCCCTAATTTTCTTAATCCTACCCCTTGACTTTCTGGGCCTCATCCCCTGACTTTCTGGGCCCCACAGCCTGATTTTCTGATTCAGTAGGTCCAACAAACTCCCAGGTAAATGCCCATGCTGCTGGGCTAGGACGACACGTGGAGAACAATTGCTCTAAAAATTGAGCAGATCAACACTCTCTTTCAAGTCTGCACCTGGCCCAGCACCATGGGGATCCCCACAGTACCCCCAAAAAGTCCTCAGAATGAGTACACAGGGCAGGCAGAATGGCACTCTGACTGTAGCATAATGATTTGTAAATGCAAAACAGGTCAAGTCCTGTCTCAAGTGTTTTCAGATTGAAAATGCGGAGGGGGAAATGATGGGGTCCTTGAAGTCAGAGCTTGGATCATGGGTTTTTCCCCACCAGGCCCCAGCCTAAACAAGCTCTGTTATAAAGGAGCCCTCGTCTTTGTGGAAGGAGGCGTTTTTTGTTTTTTTTTCTTCAAGATGGAGCCTTGCTCTGTCATCCAGGCTGAAGTGCAGTGGCGCCATCTCGGCTCACTGCAACCTCTGCCTCCCGGGTTCAAATGATTCTCCTTCCTCAGCCTTCTGAGTAGCTAGGATTACAGGCAAGTGTCACCATGCCCGTCTAATTTTTGTATTTTTAGTAGAGATGGAGTTTCACCGTGTTGGTCAGGGTGGTCTTCAACTTCTGAACTTGTGATCCACCAGCCTCTGCTTCCCAAAGTGTTGGGATTACAGGCGTGAGCCACCGCACCTGGCCTAGGAGGGAATATTTTTATTCAATCCAGGGGCAGCCTCTGGGTAGAAGGGAAGGGCTGACTTGGTTCAGCAAGGTCAAGAGCCTTGCCAAAAGTCACACAGCTAGCAGAAGTTGGAGGGTGAGTTTAGTGGTTTCCCTAAGAAAGAAGGGGTATGGGTATTACCATCCACAGTCAAGATGACAGTGTGAGACCACCCTTACTGAATACCTGGGACATCAAGTTTTTTTACTTAGCAATTTTTTTATGATAAATGTAAGTATAGATGGTCCCTGACCTACAATGGCTCAATTTAACATTTTTCAACTTTACAATAGTGCAAAAGCAATACACATTTAGTAGAAACCTTACTTCAAGTGTCCATACATTCTGTTTTTTATTTTCAGTACAGTCGTGAATAAATTATGTGACATGTTCAGTACTTTATTATAACATTTGTGTTAGATGATTTTGCCCAACTGTAGGCCAATGTAAATGTTGTAAGTACATCTAAGGTATGTCAGGCTAAGCTATAGACGTTTGGTAGGTTAGATGTATTAAGTGCATTTTCAACTTGTGAATTATAGTGGGTTTATCCGGACATGGCCTCATTGTTAAGTCACAGAGCATCTGTTAATATGGACATCTTAAAAAGACGTCATTAAATGAACGCAATGGAGTCTAAATATCATAATGATTTGATACAAATATTATTCATTTTCATTTATTTATTTTTTGTAGAGGTGGGGTCTCACTATGTTGCCCAGGCTGGAGGGTAACACAATCATAGTGCACTGTGGTCTCAAACTCCTGCCCTTCTCAAGTGATCCTCCCACCTCAGCCTCCAAAGTAGCTGGGACTACAGGCATGTGCCACCTTGCCTAGCTTCTTTATTTATTTATTGAGACAGAGTCTTGCACTGTTGCCCAGGCTGGAGGGCAGTGGTGCAATCTTGGCTCGCTGCAACCTCTATCTCCGGGGTGCAGGAGATTCTCATGCCTCAGCCTCCTGAGTAGCTGGGATTATAGGTGCCCACGACCATACCTAGGTAATTTTTGTGTTTTAGTAGAGACAGGATTTCACCATGTTGGCCAGGCTGGTCTCAAACTTGAGACCTCAGGTGATTCACCCGCCTTGGCCTCCCAAAGTGTTGGAATTACAGGCGTGAGCCACAGCGCCCGGCCTTCATTTTTAAAGTACATGAAAAAACTATTTATGACAATGTTGAGTTTTACCTAAGCACTGTGCTCCTAGAGAACAGCAATGATTAACCCCTTACCCCCTAACCCCACCTCAACCCCGTCTCTCGGGTTCTGGAAATGGCTCACTGCAATGACTGAGATAAAACTCATGGATTCCCCTCTATGGCGATTCCCCACTATACCCTGTTACTAGACCGGATACAGATAGCCCCAATTCCCATTTGCCTCATAAGTGACTAGCTGAAATGCTTGGCCCATTGATCAGCTGGAAAAAAATGCTCATTAATGAAACTTTGGTTAAGCTTTTGTCCTTCCCCAAGGCCTCTGAATTTTGGCCCACCCTCAGCCTAAACCAGCATGAAATCCCTCTGTAACAGCCCCCTTGAGAACAGGCTGGCCTCAGGATAAAGCAATCTCTGATCTACTGCCCCACCCTGTCACTCTCGTTCATCCCACTTACCTACACCAGGTTCTTTCTAGACTGGTTTACTCCTTCCTATAAAAGAAAATCCCTTTTTGCCTACCCCTTGAGAGTTTGTAGATTTATGGCCTGAGTGTTCTCCCTGTTTACAGAGTCTTACCACCCTCACCCCACCCCAAAATCATCCTTTTAAATAAAATCTCTCTTTATCAAATCTGGGTCTGTTTTTTTATTTGACATAATATGCAACATTCTTTTTTTCTTCTTCAGCTTCTGCTACGGAGTTTTATCCAAGCATAATATATTTTCATGCTTGGTAATATTTTATGAAGCACCCTATTGTACATTTCTGTCACACAATTATGCAGATAAATTTGAACTTGTTAACTCTAAAAAATTTTCTGTGACCATGAGGTTCTAAGGGTTAATTTTTTTTCCTTCTAGATTGAAATGTTGTTGTAATTATTAGTAGTACATATGATTAAAATACATGCATAGCATTTCATTATATGAGAGAATCTTTAAACATACAAGTTAATTAATCTTCATTAAAATGTCATGGAAAATATATCTTTGAAGGAGATGGATTGAGCCAGTTATTTTTCCATAAATTTGTGAGTCCAGAGATGAGTATCACTTTTTGTAAGAATGAGACAGAGGTGAGTCTGTTGTTTTGATTTTATAGTTGTAAGCCTGATAAACATTGTTTACATTAAAACCATAGAGAAATGGGAAGGGTTTTAGTCTGGCAATTCTCCCACTTCTTTTAAATTCCTGATAATTATCTATACTCATGTATTTATTTATTTATTCATTTATTTGTTTACTGGAGACAGGGTCTGTCTGGCTCTGTCACCCAGGCTGGAGTGCAGTGGCTCAATCATAGCTCACTGTAACCTCTAACTCCTGGACTCAAGGGATCCTCCCACTTCAGCCTCCCCAGTAGTTGGGACTGTAGGCACACACCTCCACATTTATTTATTTTTGTGAAGACAGGATCTTGCTATGTTGCCCATGCTGGTCTCAAACTCCTGGCCTCAAGCAGTCCTCCAGCCTTGGTCTCAAGAAAATGTTTTTAATGACCTAACAACATGATTAGATCCTCCTTGGATCTTGGTGAAAGCAAAGAATGAGAAACCACCTGACTTGTAGAAGGATTTCTTGCCCCGTCCTCAACAATAATTAATACATTATTTAGAATTGCCCTATTGTTTCTCCTGGAGACTTTTATTTCCCAAGGTAATGCAGCAGAGCAAGATTTAGAACAGGTGCAGTGTGAATTGCCTTTGAAAAGTGGGAGACAGCTGGTTACACATGAGGAGAGGGAAGCTGAACCCCAAAGACCCCAGGCATATTCTGAGGCCCAGCACCATGGAAGCAGAGGATCTGGATATTGACTCTCTTAAAACTCTCCTTGGTTGGGTGTGGTGGCTCACGCCTGTAATCCCAGCACTTTGAGAGGCCAAGGTGGGTGGATCACGAGGTCGGGAGTTCGAGACCAGCCTGACCAACATGGTGAAACCCCATCTCTACTAAAAATACAAAAATTAGCTGGGCATGGTGGCACGTGCCTGTAATCCCAGCTGTTCCTGAGGCTGAGGCAGGAAAATTACTTGAACCCGGGAGGCACATGTTGCAGTGAGCCGAGATTGTGCCACTGCATTCCAGCCTGGGTGACAGAGTGAGACTCCATCTCAAAAACAAAAACAAACAAAACAAAAAAAACTCTCCTTGCCCCAGATTTACCTCCCACAGTCCCCATGCCTGAAGACCGCTGTCCTATAACCCCTTCCCCTCTGCTCTCTGATCAACGCTGCCTCCTAAGTAGCATTTGAATCTGTCATTTCAAATGCTACTTAGGTGGGGAGCTCTTTATCCTCCACACCACTCTGGACATCATGATCTTCCAAATTTCCACAAACACTCCCCCACTCCTTTCTCCAGTCCTCATCCATTCCTCTCTATGCTGCAGCCAGAACAAGTTTTTTCAAATGCAGATTCACTGGTAAACTATCTATGGCTTAAATCCCTCTGCCTCCCCAAAGCCTTCAGGGGCCTGGGTAAAAGGATTGATCTCTCTTGTGACCTCATCCCTTGTCCTGCTTCCCTCAAATTTGTACTCCCATCAGAAAGAGCTCCTAGCTTATTTCTCATCACAGGTACGTTTCCAAATCACTTCTGCTTGCAAAATGTGAACTAAGAGAAGTCAGACTGCTTAGGTAAGGATCTTTGGATTCTAGGTGTTTCTCCTTAATTTAAGTGTCAATTTCCTTAACTGTAAAACTGAAATAATAGTAAGGTCATTGTACAAATTAACTGAGTATTTTGCCTGGCACATCATTCGTGCTCACATAATACGTGTGAACTGTTTATTATTGTTCTTGTTATTACTCATGTTACACTGAATTTTCTTTCTTTCTTTCTTTCTTTTTTTTTGAGACGGAGTTTTGCTCTTGGTGCCCAGGCTGGATGGAGTGCAATGGCGCGATCTCGGCTCACTGCAACCTCCGCCTTCTGGGCTCAAGCGATTCTCCTGCCTCAGCCTCCCGAGTAGCTGGGATTACAGGCTCCCGTCAACGCCCGGCTAATTTTTGTATTTTTGGAGAGATGGGGTTTCATGTTGGTCAGGCTGGTCTCAAACTCCTGACTTCAGGTGATCACCTGCCTCGGCCTCCCAAAGTGCTGGGATTACAGTCGTGAGCCACCGCGCCCCGGCCTCATGTTGCACTGAATTTTCTGTTAACCTTGCTGTTTCCCTGCTGTTAGATAAACAACTCAGGATGCTTATGTGTTTATTGTGTGCATCCCACTGCCAAGCCCACGTAGGAACTTAATACTTAGGAGTCAAGTGTTGCAAAAGAATAAATGAAAAAGCAGCGCTGACGGAGGAAACCTGACTTTCAAAGTCTCTCTTTAGTGCCTACTGTGTATATTATTTCCTTGAATCCCAGAACACCCGAGGAGGTAAGGGCCGATGTTCCCAATCTGCAGATGTGGGTGTACTCAGTAAGTCATTCGGCCTTTGGTGGTACCAGGCTTACAGGAGCCCACATCCCGACCCAGGTAGAGGAGTGGATTGGAGCCGGGGAACACTGATGGGACCGGGCAGGGACGACAGGAGGTCAGTCTCCCTTCCCTTCTCTTTAAAATTTCCCGCCAGTATGGCCGGCTCGCAGCACGAGTTACGCCCTCTTCAGGAGTCCCTCCCCTTCTGCTCTCGCCCGCCTCCCCGCTGCCAGGCAGGCTCGACCAATCAGAAGAGGTCTTGGGCGGGCGCTGCCGTCCAGCGAGCCAATAGGCGGGCAGTCGGAGCCGGGCTTGCCCGGGCATGTGGGAGCTGCCGGCTTTCCGGACGCCACGTGCAGACCGGAAGAGACACGCGGGGCTTCAGGTGAGATCCAGGACCCTGCACCGGGGCGGCGGGGTCGGGCGGGCTGAGGCCGCGTGTCCCGGGTCGCAGGTCCCCGCGCGTTGTTTCCGCCCCGGCCTGCGGCGGGGACGCCTGAACTGGGCTGACCCTGCCCTACCGGCCCGCAGAAAAGCAGGCCGGGCGCCGCCTGTCTCCAGCCCTCGCTCTGCTCGGGGGTCCAGGGCCAGAGGGGGCGGCGCTGGTCGTTGGGACTCGGCCCAGCTGCCGCGGCCAGCAAGTGACCAACGCCCGAGTCCTTCCCGGTGAGATCAGGCCTCCCACGCGTCACGCCTGGGAGAACGCCAGCCGGCGGGGAGGTCGTGCCAGGATAGCAGACTTTAGTTGTTGTCGTTGTTCCGTGGACTTTTTAGCAGCACAGGGGACCTTATCGAGCCAGGTTTTTTCAGGTTTGGGCGATTATCAGAATTGTGGCTTGAGGGTAGGGGTCGTCCGCGCTCTTTTTAAAAATCTAGATTCTCAGGCCCCTTTCCCCAAAATAGCAATTAGGACGGTGTGGGAGTGGGCCTGAAAATCAGCCTTTCATCAGATGTCATATGGTAATTAACTACATTTGGGAAGCCCTTATCTAATTCACAGCCCTCGGTTGATGGTGAAGAGACGTGACTTGCCCCAGATCATCTAGCTACTTAGTGCCAGAGGAGGGTCTAGAACTGCCCTCTGCCCTCTTGATCAGCCAGCAGGTTGGTGGCTCTCATGCCACCGAGGATTCTGACTTCTTGGTTCCTTTGGGGCCTTTGCTCCATTGACTCTGCAGCTGGGACCCTTTCTTTAGGCCAGACCCCCTCCCTGCCTGAAGGCCGGGTGTCTGACCCCCAGAGCGCTGGGTCCAGGCTAGAGAAAGGCTTGTGTTTGTCCTTGTTGAAAGGGTTGTTTTATCTGAGCGGAACTTCTCTCCAGCTTCACTGAGCTACATTTGGGTCCCCAAAGAGGTGTGTCCTTGATGACTGTTGGTTTTGACGTGTCAGCATGTAGCAGGAGGAGCCGCGGACAAAACCCCACAGAGGTAGTGAAGGAATTGGCTTTTAATCAGCTGGAAGCATCGGCAGACTAGCATCTCAAAATCCGAGCTTGTTGAGTGCACAGTTTCTGTCCCTTTTAAGGACTCACAACACTAAAGATTTTACAAGAAAGGGCCATGATTGATTGAGCAATCTAGGGGGTATGTGACAGGGACTGCATGCACCGGTAGTCAGAGTGAAACAGAACAGAACAGAACAAGAGATTTCACAGTGTCCTTCTATACAATGTCTGAAATCTATGGATAACATCGGTTGCTAGGTCATGGGTTTAATTTTAACTATCAGGCTAAGGTCAGGCAGGCCCAGGCCTGGTTTTGGGTCTGGTTTTGGGTCTGGTGCGTGGCGCCGGGCTGCCTGCCTTTGGTTTTGCTTCCTTGTTTCTTCTTAAAACAGGTACTGAGTATAAAATAATACAGAACAATATGAGGGGGAGGTCTCTTTCTCTCTTCTCTTAAGCAAGGTCAGGGTGTTTGGAAAAGGACTACTTTCCTCTCTTGAAATAGGAGGCTACAGAGACCTTTTCTCAGATAACTTAATTTCTGGCTTCTTTAAAACCTTGCCAGTAGGATCAGGAAAGCCACCCACCCTACTCCTAGCCTCAGCCCCTCACAGAGAAAGGAGGGGACTATCCGCCAGCCCCCTTTCCCAAATTAGTTATTAGCAGGGTGGGCATTGGGCTTCTTAGGCTTTTTTCTCCCATTGCTGGGCTGAGGCAGATTAAGGTTCTGAATTTGTCAGTTCTAAGATGTGACTGTCAATATGAGGAAGTTGGTTACAGTTAAGACCTTTTTAAAAGAGAGACCTTTTCTCCTGGAAAGGATGGGATGAGCAAGCAGGGTGGATGAGTCAGGATGGGTCAGGTCTGGATGAGTCAAGTCAGGATGCGGTGCCCTGCCCTAGAGTGTGGGGATTCTTTATGCAAATGCTGGCATCATCAAACCTGGCATTTCACCTCACCTCCCATCCCCTTCCCATTTCTCTTAATCTCTGCTGCTACTGCTCAGGTTTTCATCTTCTCCAGACCTCTTTCTACACCCTTCTGAAGAGGACCTGCCACATGCTAGCTTCTAGGCTGGCTGTTGGGGAAGGTACAATCAAGGCTCTAACCTGCCTTCTTACAGCTCTGAGGTAGACTGTGTGTACCAATGGACTTTGAAGGGTGTAATAATTCTCAAATTGTGCTATAAGAGCTCAGCACAGAGGGATGAATTTCTTTGCTCCCCAGCTAGACTTAGTGTCCTGAGTCAGGGCTACTGTGGGATATTTCAGTGACCTCCATAGGTGCCTCTGGGGCTCCCCCACTCACTTGGCCAGTAGAGACCAATTCAGGGGACACCAGATTGCGGTAGGGGTGGCTTGTGGAAGGGCCACCAGAGTAGGAAACAGAAGATGAAATGGTGCAAAGGAGAGAGGAGCGAGGAGCAGTGCCTCCAGCATGACCCGCCTTATGCTCTACACCCCAGTGACTTGAGGCTGCTGGTGGGCCCTCTTCCTCCACCCTGGGTTAGTCCTTTTTAAGGCCTTTGCCCCTAACATGGCCACTGATTCTTCTCCCTTCTACCTGGAAGGTTACTGTTGTACATGCACACAGATGTAGCCTCTTCCAGGAAGCCTCCAGAGAATTGTCCTCCAGCCTGTTTTGCCTCCCTAGCACCTCTGCTTCAGCCCTTAACACACTTTATGCTTGGTTTCTGTCTCCACCATGAAACTAAACTTCTTGGAGTCCAGGATCCACCTGTGCAGCCGCCCAGCATCTGGCACAGTGGAGACCCGAGAGAGCCTCAGTATGGCATTGGCCTGTGCAACCCAGTGGGACAGAGTTTCTTCCAGAAGGGCTTCTGGGTGGTGGCGGAACAGTAGCTGAGTCTGAAAGAGCAGGAGGGCTGTGAGTGGGAAGGGAGGCTGTGGCTTGGGAAAGGGCAGTGAGTCCAGGCGGAGGCTGCTCTGGCCTGAGAAGAGCTGGCTGCCAACCACGGGCTAGAGTCTAACCTCTCTGGGAGAAGGAGCAGTGGTTATTGAGCCCCTACTGTTCAGAATACAGGAAGACCCCAGCATACATTGTGTCGTTTCCTCTTCACACAGTAGAGGGGGTGGTAGGATCATTTTACATGCCTGAAAACTGAAACTTAGCAGTTTAGGTCATTTACAAAGAGCTGAGTTAGGCCGAATATGGTGGCCCACGCCTGTAATCCCAGCACTTTCGGAGGCCAAGGCAGGTGGATCACCTGAGGTCAGGAGTTTGAGACCAGCCTGTCCAACATGGCAAAACGCCACCTCTATTAAAAATACAAAAATTAGCCAGGCGTGGTGGTGCATGCCTGTAATCCAGCTACACAGGAGGCTGAGGCAGGAGAATCGCTTGAAGCCGGGAGGCGGAGGTTGCAGTGAGCCGAGATCACGGCACTGCACTCTAGCCTGGGTAACGAGAACGAAACTCCGCCTCAAAAAATGCCAAGTTAAACCCTGCTCTGCCTGACTTCAAAGCCCTAGTTTGTTTGATCTGTTAAAAATGTACTGACTGACTTGGCATAACAAATGAGACAGGCTTTCCAAGTTATGGCCTCAGCTGTTGGGAAGATGCTGGGTTTTGCAAACTCACATGAACATCAGACATTTCCTGTAGCAGCAATGAACGACAGCACCTCTTATCCTAGCATTCAGTGACGAGGGCTTAAAGTCCGCTGGGTGGGAGCCCATCACAGAAATCTGCAAGCACTTCAGATCAGGACTTTTAAATGTTTCTAGATGCTGTGGCGATTAATGAATTACAACGTCAGGTAAAGAAATTACACTTAAAGGCTGGACACGGTGGCTCATACTTATAATCCCAGTACTTTGGGAGGCCGAAGTGGGCGGATCACTTGAGCCCAGTTTAAGACCAGCAGGGCAACATGATGAAACCCCATCTCTACTAAAAATACAAAAAAAGTAGCCAGGTGTGGTTGTGTGTACCTGTAGTCCCAGCTACCCAGGAGGCTGAGGTGGGAGGATCACTTGAGCCCTGCAGTGAGCTGTGATCACGCCACTGCACTTCAGCCTGGGTGACAGAGCAAGAACTTATCTCAAAATAAATAAATTAATTAAATAAATAAATTACAGTTGGTTATCATATTACAAAAAAATACAACTATTCAGTTACTGCGGGCTTCCTATGAAATTCTTTCTCCAGGTTGTGCTGAGGATCTGTGCCTTCATATTTCAAAAAAGTATTTCTTAAAAAAGGCTATACAGTTTCTATAACCTTTATTTTCCTATAACCATACCTCTGTCAAAGTCTGATGCTTCTTAGCTAAAAATCACAGCAGAAAAAAAGTCCACTGCTAACAATATTGGACTCAGCCATGGTTTGAGGTTGAGGGTGTGGATTCTGGGTTCCTACCAGCCTTTGGCTTTTACTAATGGGGCAAGTTTCTTCACCTCTGTGCCTCAGTTTCTTACCTGTAAAATGAAGATGATAATACTTTGTTCAGGTCATTGAGCAGACTGAGTGATTCCATGTAGTATTTACAACAGTGATTCACCTGTGTTTACAGTATGAATGCTTTTATTAGTGAAATGGGTCCTCAACTCAATCTGGGAGCCACGAGCTACGGTGCAGGGCTCTCGGGCATCCCCACCGTGGTGCACTGCAGGGAGGGAGGGAGGGTGGGTGGGCTGCCTGGCACACTCTCACCCAGCCCCTCTGCCTGTGTGTTCTCTCTTCAGGCTGCTGCCCCATTGGAAGATTACTCCCCAGGCTTCCCTTGCCCCAAGCAGTGAGCTGACTGGAATGGTACCCCGGGAGGCCCCTGAGTCTGCTCAGTGCCTGTGCCCTTCCCTCACCATCCCAAATGCCAAGGATGTGCTTCGGAAGAGGCACAAGAGAAGGAGCCGACAGCACCAGCGGTTCATGGCCCGGAAGGCCTTGCTGCAGGAGCAGGGGCTGCTGAGCATGCCTCCAGAACCAGGGTCCTCCCCACTGCCCACCCCTTTCGGGGCAGCGACAGCAACTGAAGCTGCCAGCAGTGGGAAGCAGTGTCTGAGGGCTGGATCTGGCAGTGCCCCATGCAGCAGAAGGCCTGCTCCCGGGAAAGCCTCAGGGCCCTTGCCCAGCAAGTGTGTGGCTATCGACTGTGAGATGGTGGGCACGGGACCCCGAGGGCGGGTAAGCGAGCTGGCCCGCTGTTCCATTGTGAGCTACCATGGCAATGTCCTCTATGACAAGTACATCAGGCCTGAGATGCCCATCGCTGACTACCGTACCCGCTGGAGTGGCATCACTCGGCAGCACATGCGCAAGGCTGTCCCCTTCCAGGTGGCCCAGAAAGAGGTAAGGGCAGGGATGGGGACTTGTTTGGGAGGTGTGGTGGGCTGGAAAGAGCCACCCTGGGTTTGAATCACCACTTTGCTTCACTGGGGGCAAGAAACCTTGGGAAAGTCACCTAACTGCTCCAAACAGTAGGTTCCTTCTCCATAGAACAGGGGAAATAAAAATAAAATCCTGACCTTGCCTCCAGATAAGGATTGCTGGCCTGTTGCACAGGACAATGTAGAAAGGCTACACCAACTGTAAGGTGATAAATAGCTTACATTTTAGAGTTTGCTTTCTGTTATAAAAGTTGTACGCATTGATATAAAATTTGTAAAGCCCACAGTGGCATCACGTTCAGGTATGGATGTTTTGGCATATTTCCTTATGTTAGTTTCTTAGTGCTTAGAAAAAATTAATTAGTGGTTGGGACCACACTGATGCACCAGGAATTCCCAAACATGCTTGACCTTAGAAACACCTAAGTCCTTTTTAACAATCTAGGATCCTTGTCCCCAGTTCCCTCCATAGAGTTCCTGATCCATTAGGCTTGGGGAGGGCTCTGACCCATGTTCCAAAAAATCATCACACTGTGTAGACTTGCACCATAAAGCCACAGGGCTTAAGGGGAAATGGAGAAAGGGAACAGTATTAAAAAGGCCATCAGTGACACCCCAAAAATAAGATAGAAACCTAATAAAAAGGTAGTCCAGTTTTACGCATCTTGTTTCTTTTTTTTTTTTTTTTTATTCCACACATCTTAAATGGTTAAGAAATGCACAATACACCAATAAGTATGGCACTTTACCTTGAAAAAGACCTGAACTTGCTTGTGGAAAGAGGAGTCAGAAAGGTTGCAGCTTGAGTTTCTGTGAAGTGGTTGAAGGAGAGTTCTTTGAAGTCAGACAGGAAGTGTGACACCAGCTGTGGATGGGTGTGGCTCATCACACAGGTGAACTAGGGTTGCTGGGAGATGTTTGGGCTGTGTGCATATTGTGTATGCCCTCTTGGCTTAGTTCAGTTGGATGCAGTTTTCTGCGTTCATTCAGTGTTTCTCAAGGATGAAATTATGCACAAGCAAAGGTGAAATTTGCATTGTTCTCAAAATGTGTCATACATCAATTGCATTGAGACAAATCTGCATTTTCTAAACAAGCCTTGTAACAGAACCACTTTTTAACACTTCTGGGTTATTCTTGGGATTAGGCAAGGTTGGGAAATACTGGTGTACACTATCTCGTGTCCTACTTTTTCACATAACATTGTGGCCCGAGCATTCCTTTGAAATGATCGGAGGTTATTTTATGTATCAAGCAGGCCAATCAGTAAGAGTAGCAACAAGAGGGGAGGTGTGTGGTGAACCCTCCAGCTCCTTGGTCCCTTCCATTGACCTGGTTGGTGGTGGTCCCAAGAGCAGGACCACTTTTTGTCTGCCCAGACTCCGAGCCACTGTGGGTTGTGCTTCATCTCTTTCCACTTCATGGCTGACTTGGGGGGAGGGGCAGTGTGGTGAGTGACCAGCATGGTGGCATGTCCCTACTATAAAGTCTCAATGCATCTTATCCATCTGCCATGAAAGCTGGGTTTGGGGATAAACATATGTTGCCAGCAGAGGTAGGCTGTGGAGGCCCGCAGCTGGTGATAAGGAGAGCCCAAGCCCAGCTAAGAGGGCTAGAGGGGGTTGCTGGCCCATGGCCCTGGGCGTGGCCTCCCTGGTGTATGAGGAGGGCCACCCAGCAGGGAAGGGAGGTACACATTGTGCAGGCAGCCAGAGCTGAGCAAGAGAGCAGGTTAAGAGGATGAGGAGGAGTTGGTACACAGCAGGGCAAGGGGGCAGAGTCCTGAAGACAGGGATTATGGCCCTTAATGCTCATAAGAGCTGCTGCTATGGTGTGTCTACCAGTGACAGGCACGGTTCTGTTGACTTCACCCAGCTGGTCTTTATTGATCACCTCCTGTGATAAGTAAATAATCAATAAATGTAATGCTTTCTACTACAGGAAAAAGATAGGCATTAAAAAAAAAGAATAAATGTGACGCTTTCCTTGGAGCATCACTAAGAAGTCCAACATGGTCCCTGCACTCACAGACCTTACAGTGCGGTGGGGGAGAGTTGGGTGGAGTGGGAGGCCTGGTGACGTCTTCCAGGCTGAGAGGAGAGCCAACACCAGCAATAGAGTTGCTTGTATCTGGTAACAGGAAGACTTCCATCCATGACCTCGTTTAGTCCTTAGAGCCACCCCACGGAATGCTGCTGGCAGTGTTTCCCTTTGACAGGTGCAGAAGACATAGGTATGCCCCTGGGTATAGACAGTAGAAGGGTCTGGGTTCAGACTTGGGGCAGCATGGTTGACTGTGGAGCTCGTGATCTCCCCACTCGGTGCTGCCTCCCCCCACAGGGATCCATGCATCTATTGGCCAGGGGTTCTCAGGGCGTGTCTCCTGCCAACCTGATGGGGTGTGGGGTGACCTCCCTGACTCCTCTTTCTGCTCACAGATCCTTAAGCTCCTGAAGGGCAAGGTGGTGGTGGGGCACGCGCTGCACAACGACTTCCAGGCGCTCAAGTATGTCCACCCTCGGAGCCAGACCCGGGATACGACCTATGTCCCAAACTTCCTCAGCGAGCCCGGCCTCCACACCCGGGCCCGGGTCTCTCTAAAGGACCTGGCCCTGCAGCTGCTGCACAAGAAGATCCAGGTGCGTGGTGGGAGAGTGGCTGGAAGGGAGGGAGGCCCGCCTGGCCTCCATGCCACCTGAGCCACAGACAAGGCTTTGGGCTGTGTCTCCAGCCTCCTTGTCATTCTCTTCCCTAGTCCAGGTCCAGGGACCTTGCTTAAATGGGTCTCCCTCCTGTACACGCAGCTCCAGGTGTTTCTCTCCATGATCCTTCTTCCCCAGTGTGTACTGCGATTCTCCCAGAACACATTCTCCTAGGCCGATCTCTTCCAGATCTGTCCCCTCCCTAACTCTTGGTTCTTGCATCCCTGAAGCATGGTCTCCCATCCCCTACTAGCAGACATAGAGCCTTAGATCAGGAGGAGCCAGTACCTCTTGCTCCTGTTGGGCTTCACATTTATTATTCATCTGATCTGCAAGCCTTTGAAGCAAGAGATTTTTAGCATGCCTTATATTTGAGGAAAACAGGCTTGGAGAAGCTGCATGGCTTATGGTGTACAGTTGAGGTTCCATCCCTTTTCTGTGAACCTCCATTCTGAGCATACGTATTCTTGGGCCTGCACAAAGAGCCCTGGGAAACTGGCCTTGCTTCTTGGGGTAACAGGCCTCTCACTAGGCCTGCAGGCAGTGATGTGTTGGCTCTCGTCAGTAGGTGGGCCAGCACGGGCACTCATCAGTAGAAGATGCCACGACAGCCATGGAGCTCTACCGGCTGGTGGAGGTGCAGTGGGAACAGCAGGAGGCCCGCAGCCTCTGGACCTGCCCCGAGGACAGAGAACCTGACAGCAGCACAGACATGGAACAGTACATGGAGGACCAGTACTGGCCCGATGACCTGGCCCACGGCAGCAGAGGAGGAGCCAGGGAGGCACAGGACAGAAGGAATTGAGAAGGGGGCGGGGCTCCCTGGCTGGGCTTCCGGTGTGGCCGGTAGGAAGTGGGGGCCAGGAGAGCAGCGGGCACTCCTTCCTGGGCAGGGTGGGGCAGGATGCAGTGAGCCAGCCCCAGGGCCAGAGGAGTAGGGGTCATCTGTTACCTTGACACCCTCTGCACACAGCATAGCCCTCTCTCTCTCCAGGGCTGTTGGTTCTTTCTTCTGACTCCTGTGGTTTTGCTAATGGCACTTTACAGACTCCATGGAGATGTCAGGTGGACCATCTTCTAGGGCCCAGCAGGAGTAGGGAATGTGCCAACAGACTGCCCAGGTTGCCGTGGCCTTCCCCACCCCCCAGATCTCCTGAGTCATCATGCTGTGCTAATGAAAGGGATCATATCATCCTCTCTGGGGATGGTGGGTGGGGGTGTCAATATCCTGGAGCTCCCTTACCCCAACTCAATGACTTGGGGGTAAAGTTCTCTTCCTTTTGTTGCCTACCTCTTCCTCCACTCATTTGGGTTCAGAATAAACATGTCCTGAAGTTAAAGAGGAGTTAAGTCCTAAAGGAGGCATTTCTTCCCCACCTCCCTGACCTGGAACTCTGGCTACAGCCATTGTAGGAACTCCGTGCCTGGCCTGTCAGCTCCCTGCTAGGCTACAGTGGAATAGCAGAGCCCACAGGCTTCTCGTGGGGAGTTGGCTCCTTAACATTTCTTGGCAACAGAAAGCCCCAGGCACAGCTCAGGGAGGAGGGAAGGCAGGTAAGCTTTGGACGAGAACTGGCATATTTATTTTGACCCAAATCAGGGATTTCCCCAGTCCACCCAGTACTGGGCTCTTAAGCAAAAGTCTGAGAAACAAGACAGTGGTTTGAATTCTGGGGCCTTTGTGTAGGATTGTGCCTGACCTTTATTTATTTATTAACAGCAGGGCCACTCGTCTAGGGCAGTGGAGTCTGCGTGTCTCCTGGGGCTGGGGCAGGGCATTGGCAGTTACGCAGTGGCCCTGAACCTGGTCTGGTGCCCCCGAACCTGGTCTGATGCCCCCTCAGCTCTTTGACAATCACTGTGGCTGTTGGGTTTTCTCCTATTTCTAAAAATGTTCTCTTCTTTCCTAAGTGACAGTTTTGAAGTATTGGATAACCAAGAGCTCAGGTCACACAGACCTTGGAGCCCCATCTTTGCTTGCAGCTTAGCTTTGAGATACTAAGCAAGCGAGGGACTTCACTCTTGAGGCTGTTTTTTCCTCATCTGTAAAGTGGGGATAGTGGTACGGCCTACCTCATAGGGTTGTAATGAGCACTAAATGTGAAGTGCTTGGCACAGTGCCTGGCACATGGTGAGCCACAGCTACTGTGAGTTTCTGTTTATCCCCCTTTTTTTTTTTTAAGCCCATTGTTTATTCTTTGAGAATTTGTTGTAACTTCTTCAGGATAACACCTGAGTCCACAGGCTGAGCAGCTGTGGCCCAGACAGAACTGCTCCGGCTTGGCTGTTCCAGCAGGTGGGGCGCTGGCCTCGGTGAGGGCACAGCAGCAAGGTTCACGGATATCCGTGTGTCTTGTCTGTGGCCACCAGGCACAGGTTTGGCTTCCGGTCAGTGTCCCGACACTGTGCGGGAGGTGACAACAGAGCAAAGCAGCGCAGGGGTCAGGGAGGTACAGACACTGCTGAAATCACACTACCCCACCCTCAGCTGAAGCCCCACGTTCCACAAACTTGGGGTCATAGATTGTCCAGTCACTGGCTCCCTCCCTGTCAGCACAGCACAGAGGAAGGGGCTAACTGAATCTTTTACCACTTCTGGCCTGGCTCCAGAACTTTGTTCTAGATTCCTTAAAAGTCGGTAGCTGATGTCAAACTCAATTGAGCAGTAGCTTTGATCCCTTGGTCTGGGGGTCGAAGGAAGATGGTGCTGTTATCAGCGGGGAAATGTACTATTTAAGATCAGCTTTGTTGTAAAACCATTTGTTCTAGAATAAAACTCAATTGGAAACGTGGGTGAAGTGGCCCTTCCTGTGAATTCTCAAGCTGGGATTGGAGGGTGGCTCATTGGGGGTTTGGGAGGGGGACTGGGGCACTAAGCCTTGCTGGGTGCTTTGGACTTCGAGAAGGCAGTTTTCAAGAGGATGCAGTGGGCTCCAGCAAGAAACTAGCAGAGCTACAGAATTTAGATAATTTATTTCTTATTGCCCTATTACAGAGCACAAGTTTTGTGTTTTGTTTTTTGTTTGAGACAGGGTCTTACTCCTGTTGCCTGGGCTAGAGTGCAGGGTGCAATCATGGCTCACTGCAGCCTCGACTTCCCAGGCTCAGGAGATCCTCCCACGTTGGCCTCCCAAGTAGCTGGGATGACAGGCATGCGCCACCCCGCCCAGCTAATTTTTTTGGTATTTTTAGTAGAGACGGGGTTTCACCATGTTAGCCAGGCTGGTCTCAAACTCCTGGACTCAAGGAATCCACTCACCTCGGTCTCCCAAAGTGCTGGGATTACAAACAGGAGCCATCGCACCTGGCCATATTTGTTTTAACTTTTTTGTTTCTCCCTGAAGCTATGTACTCACTTAAAAAAAGTTTTTAATTGTAGTAGAATACACATAGAAAATTTACTATGTTAACTACTTTTAGTGTACAGTTCAATAGTGTTATGTCTGTATCCACATTGCTGTGCAACAGATCTCGAACTCTTTCATCTTGTGAAACTGACACTTTCCATTTCCCCCTTTTTTCTTTTATTCCTTTTTTTTCTTGAGACAGAGTTTCACTCTTGTTGCCCAGGCTGGAGTGCAATGGCGTGATCTTGGCTTACCACAACCTCCACTTGCCGAGTTCAAGCAATTCTCCTGCCTCAGCCTCTCGAGTAGCTGGGATTACAGGCATGCGCCACCACGGCCGGCTAATTTTGTATTTTTAGTAGAGACAGGGTTTCTCCATGTTGGTCAGGCTGGTCTCGAACTCCCGACCTCAGGTGATCCCCCTGCCTCAGCCTCCCAAAGTGCTGGGATTACAAGTGTGAGCCACCGCGCCCAGCAATTTCCCCCTTTTTTCAACCCCTGGCAACTACCATTCTACTTTCTACTTCTATGAATTTGACTAGATAGCTGATACAGGTGGAATCATACAGTATTTGTCACTTTGTGACGAGCTTATTTCACTTAGCACAGTGTCGTCATCCATGTTGTGGCATGTGTCAGAATTTTATTTTTTAAGAGACTCTTGCCCAGGCTGGACTCAAACTCCTGGGCTCAAGTTATCCTCTTGTCTCGGCCTCCTAAGTAGCTGGGACTACAGGCATGTGCCCCCATGCCTGGCAACTATTTTTTTTATTTTTTTTTTTAGAGACGGGGTCTCATTATGTTGCCCGGGCTGGTCTTGAATTCCTGGCCTCAAGTGATCCTCCTGCTTTGGCCTCCCAGCATGCTGGGATTACAGGAGTGAGCCACTGCACCTGGCTAGAATTTTCTTTTTAAGGCTGAATGATCTTTTGTATGTATATACCATGCTTTGTTTATCCATTCATCTGTCAGTCAACAATACTTAGGTTACTTCCCCCCTTGGCTGTTGTGAATAATGCAGCTATGAACATGCTGAAAGTGCTCCCAAGTGTACAAATACCTCTCCAAGACCCTCCTTTCAATTTATTTGAATATATACCCAGCAGGGGAATTGCTGGATTATATGGTAATTTTTTTTTTTTTTTTTTTTTTTTTTTTTTTGAGACAGAGTCTCACTCTTGTCATCTAGGCTGGAGTGCAATGGCGCGATCTTGGCTCACTGCAACATCTGCCTACTGGGTTCAAGCTATTCCCCTGTCTCAGCCTTCCAAGTAGATGGAATTACAGGCGCATGCCACCACGCCTGGCTAATTTTTATATTTTTAGTAGAGACGGGGTTTCACCATGTTGGCCAGGCTGGTCTGGAACTCCTGACCTCAGGTGATCCACCCGCCTCGGCCTTCCGAAGTGCTGGGATTACAGGCGTGAGCCACCGCGCCTGGCCTATAGTTTTTTTTGAGGAACTGCTGTGCTGTTTTCTTTAGTAGCTGTACCATTTTACATTCCCACCAACAGTGAACAAGGGTTTCAGTTTCTCCACGTCCTTGCCAACATTTTTTTCTGTTTTTCCATAGCAGCCATCCTAATGGGTATGAGATGATGTGGTTTGGATTTGCATTTCCCTAATCATTAGTAATATTGAGCATCTTCTTACATGCTTTTTGGTATACAGTTCCTTTTTAACTAATTTTCTTAACATGTGTTTTGTAATATGTATCAGCATAGTTTTACATGTATTAAACCACATGAAATTGCTAATATTCTAGTTTTTTGCTTTTCGTTTTTGTTTTTGAGACAGGGTTTCACTTGTCACCCAAGCTGGAGTACAGTGGTACAGTCTTGGCTCACTGCAACCTCAACCTCCCAGGCTCAAGTGATCCTCCAGCCTAAGCCTCCCAAGTATAATAGCTGGGACTACAGGTGCATGTCACCATACCTGGCTGATTTTTTACATTTTTAGTAGAGACGAGGTCTTCTATGTTGCCCAGGCTGGTCTTGAACCCTTGGGCTCATGGGATCTGCCCACCTTGGCCTCCCAAAGTGCTGGGATTACAGGCGTGAGCCACCGTGCCCGGCCACACTGTTTCTTATGGTTCAACCTTTAGTATATACAGTTGACCCTTGAACAACATAGGGATTGGGTGTTGACTCCCCACACAGTCAAAAATGTGCATGTAACTTGATTCCCCAAAAATTCAACTAATAGCCTACTTTTGATTGGAAGCCTTACTGATAACAGGTAGCCAAATAACACATATTTTATATGTCATATGTATTATATACTGTATTCTTATAATCAAGTAAGTGAGAGAAAAAATGATAAGGAAGATAAAATATATTTACTGTATTTATCGGTATTGTAAGGTTTTTACTGTATTTACATATGAGATGAAACATCTGTCTGAAATGGCAGCAACCACAGCTGTGGACTTCAATCTGTGGTACATATCAAGCAATTCAGCTTTTTCTTGTAATGTCACGACTTGTTTTCTGCTTCTTGGGAGCACTTCCAGCATCAGTAGTGGCACTTCATATGGGTCCCATGGTGGGATTCAAGGTTTACAGTATTGCACTAAGCATGATGAAAAATACCACAAAAACTGCAAGAAATCACTTTTTCCATCTTACTGGGATACCAGATGTCCTGGATATGAACTGCTGAAGCGGGGATGGGTAGTGTCACACACGTTTTAAGCAGATACTTGCAGCGCTTGAGCTCACTACAGTAACAACAGGAAGTGGCTACATTAACAGCACACTGTGTACTATAGTTAATTTTATGCAGTTACGGTTTCAGACTGCATCCCGACATTGGTTTACATTTCTCTTGACTGAGAATGGTGCCACGTGTGGTCTGTAAGTAGGTAAGTTTTGTTAAGTTTTACCTTTTAATAATAGATGTGCATATTTTATGGTAGTAAGTGATAAAATAGACTAGTATTTACATGTATTTTATACATTCATGACATAAGTAGCTTCTTAATTTCTTTGATATTTCTAGGCTGTGCAATTCATCTGAGTTTTTTCAAATTGTTGAAAAATCTCTCCCAAAATTTCCAATATATTTATTGAAAAAAAATCTGCATGTAAGTGGACCTGTGCAGTTCAAGCCCATGTTGTTCAAGGGCCAACCACAATTTAGGAATACACATACACATTTTAGGCGTACATGCCCAGCAGGACTGGAGATGGCTGGACTGGGAGAGCGTGTCCCTTGTGGGGAGAGGGGCCTCTCGCCCTCCAGTGTGAGTTGTCTCAGCCTGAGGCCAGTGCTGTGGATCCAGAGAGGGCCACAGAGTGGCCGACTTGTACCTGTTATGGTCATTACAGGTGGTCAGCTGTAGCTGGATGTGTGCCTTGAAAGGCTGACAAGTTTGCCCTGAGTGACTCACCTACTGTCACCTGATCCAACAAGATTTGTGGGCGTAGCCTGCCGATGGGTGACGCCAGTTAAAGGTAGAGCGTCGGCACCGGGAAACCCTGGCTGGGGTCGGGCTTCTCTCTGGGTACTGGGCCACCGGTGCCTGGCGTCCAACATCAGAGCACACAATACACTTGAAAAACAGTTCAGCTGGACCCAGGCAGGGTTCTAGGTGCTGGGGCCCCAGTTTTGAACTAAACAGATGGCAGGGGGAACAGTAAATGAACAAGTAAAATACAGTTTCAGAGGGTGCTAATTCCTATGGGAAAAGGCCAGAGAAGGGGATAGGAAGTAAACTTTTAGTTTTTAAAGACAAGGTCTCCCTATGCTGTCCAGGCTGGAGTGTATTGGCACTGTCATAGCCTCAAACTCCTGGGTGCAATTGATCCTCCCAGCTTAGTCTCTGGAGAAGCTAGCACTACAGGTGTGATTCACCACAATGGATTATTTTTTAATTTTAGAGATGAGATCTCCCTGTGTTGCTCAGGCTGGTCTCGAATTCCTGGCCTCAAGCAAATCCGCCTCAGCCTGGAGTAACTGGGATTATAGACACTAGCCATCGCCCTGGCAGGAAGTGCGGTTTTAAATAGAGAGGTCAGGGACAGCTTCATGGAAAGACGTCATGGAATGGGAGCAATGTGACCCCCCAGGCCACATTGGAAGACCTTTCAAGAGTAAGGGGACAGCAAATGCCTGGGCCTTGAGACAGGAGCATGACCAGAATGTTGGAGGAAGACAGAAAGAGCCAGTGTGGTTGGAAGTGTGGGAGGTGGGAATGGTAAGGGCATGGGAGAGGGGCTTACCTTTGTAGCACTTCCTGTCTCTTCCACCTGAAGCAGAGACCTGATCTTACTGGTCCCTCTGGCCATCAGACCTAGTCCTTGGGAGATGCAGGGGGTTTCAGAACAACCTGCTGATGGTTTGGCAGAAGTCACCATGTGCATAAACCAAAGCCCTGGATGTGGGTTTAAACCTAAAAGAAAGGCCTTAAATTGGATAGTGATGCAAGATGAGGTTGGGAAGGCTGGTGGACTGATGGAAGAGGGTCTGGAAACTGCCTGGAGTTGAGGTTTGATTTTTTTTTTTTTTTTTTTTGGACATCAGGAAATCACAAAATTTCTTGAGCAGAGAAGTGCCTCGGTGATGAACAGTACAAGAGATTAGATTTTGGGAAATGTAACATGGTAGGACTCAAAGGACCCTTTTGAGCAGGGCATGAAGATGGAGGTGGGAGACCCGGGAGCGACTCCTGCGGCCGCACAGGCCAGGCAGGTGAGGACTAGGGTAGGACTTCCACAGGAAAGGGGAAACGGTAAGAATTAGAGGCAGCTCAGGTGAGACAGAGCAGGCACAGAACCATGGGGAAAATATTGGAGGAGTGGGATGTGTTCTGACTGAGACCCGAGGAGGTGAGCAGAGGTGGAGGTATGAGGGGTTGCAGCAAACATGTTCCTGTCTGAGGAGCACCACGGGGCACTGGGGGGTCCTATGGGGATTGTAGAATCAAACCTATGATTGGATCTTTAGGGGGTTACTTTTTAAGTGCATGTTTCCATAAAGTAACAGGAATGTTACTTCATTTCCTCCTAAATCAGGGTAACCTTTATGCATTTGAAAA
Source organism: Homo sapiens (assembly GCF_000001405.40). Lineage (NCBI taxonomy): Eukaryota > Metazoa > Chordata > Mammalia > Primates > Hominidae > Homo > Homo sapiens. The sequence goes on from NC_000015.10 coordinate 88,637,876, forward strand.
GCATAAAGTCCCCACACAGTCTGAATTAAAGCAAAAGTTGCTTATTCAGGATGGGAATCAAAAACTCTCACACCTCAAATTTGCATCCAGTGAACAGTAAGCAGGAGCAGGGCTTTCTCATGAAGACGTATTTCAGTCTTTGGTTTTATTTTTGAGGTTTGTTAAAGTTGGGCATCCAAATCCCACTTGGTGAAAATACTACAGACCTGGGGAAGTTACTTTTCAAACCACAGATCTTCATGACACTGGGAGGCAGTCAGATTGGAGGGATCAGTGTGGATTCTGCACAGATCTGGGGTAGGAGGCAAGCGTGGGTAACGCTCAGCTTATTGTTGGATCTCACCACAGTGAAAGACAAGCACTTCCCTCATTGAAAGTTGATTTTCTTTTTGCCCCAGTTGTAACTCATTTGACATTCACTAAATACCAAGCCCTCCCTATCTGGCAGGCACTGTTCTAAGAGCTCAAAGTCCTAGCCTGGGAGAGTGTGGACCCAAGGAAGTGTGGCCGGGCTGGTGGGGCCTCCCCGAAGGCCTGCTTCTCCTTCACCCTCACAGAGTCAGCCCCACTGGAGGCAGAGCTCATTGAGGCATCTGGAACCCACGGAGGCCTGTAAGGGCTCCCTCGCTGCTCCTTGCCTTCCCTGGGTTGGAAGTGGGGGCTAGCCACTCCCACCACAAGTTTCTCCTGCCCATTCCAATAAAAGCCTGTATGTCCCAAGAGCCAGCTTCCCTACCCCATAAGAGACCACTGAGTATCAGACTGGTAGCAGGCTCCAGAAGTTAGTTGTGGGACATTCCCTGAGCTCCAGTCCTGGGGATGTTTATTCTCTGGGCGGAGGGTGAGAAAGGAAACAAAGATGTTGCAATCCACTCCACGAACGTCAAATGCGTCATCTGAGGAGGGGGAGGGCCGGGGCAAAGGAGGGGCACCCTGACATGGAGCCTGCCAGCTCCGTCAGCCCTGACTCGGCCCGGAGCTGAGCTCCCCACCTGCCGGTAGCCCAGGAGATGGAGCAGCCCAGCCCACGTGCCCGGCCTTCCGCCCCTGACTTCACTTGATAACAAACTAGAAACTGAAACAGGGTCGGGATGCCGATGCCGGCTTGGAGTTAGAGATGAGTCACCGCTGAGAGCAGCTGCAGTAGCTGAGCAGTGGCAGCAGAGAGGCAGACGTGAGCTGAGGGCGCAGAGGCAGGCAGGTGAGAGCGGGAGCTGGAGCAGCAGCTGGGGAGGCAGCGGGAGGGGCCTTCCCGGTCCCCAGGCTGCGGGGCAGGCCAGAGGCCCTGGGACACACGGGCAGGGTAAGGCAGGGGATGGGGGAGGCAAGAGGCCAGCTTCCACTGTGGCCAGGTGGTGTCGGAAACAAAGGGCAGGGCGGAGGGTAAGGCCAGCTGGGGTTGGCTGAGGACACCTGGAGGCTTGGTTTGCCCAAGCGTGAGACCGCCCCCCATACCCCTCTCTCCAGCATCTCTGAGGGTCCCCAAGGAACATGGCTGGGAGCCGTGAGGTGGTGGCCATGGACTGCGAGATGGTGGGGCTGGGGCCCCACCGGGAGAGTGGCCTGGCTCGTTGCAGCCTCGTGAACGTCCACGGTGCTGTGCTGTACGACAAGTTCATCCGGCCTGAGGGAGAGATCACCGATTACAGAACCCGGGTCAGCGGGGTCACCCCTCAGCACATGGTGGGGGCCACACCATTTGCCGTGGCCAGGCTAGAGGTGAGTGAAGGCCCGGCCAGCAGGGGCTTTGGAAATAACCCCTCTCCCACTTCCCTGGCCCCTCTTCCCTGGTGCCCATCTGTGACCTGTGACCCCACTTGTAAGATTTCCCACACTGCTGTTGGGAGAAAGCCGGTGGTGTCTCCATCACATCCTGGAGAAGGCTTCCTGTCTTCAGAGAACCATAGACTCACATCTGGAAGCCGCCTTTGGGGCATCTATCTGGATCTGGTCCAACTTGCCGGTCTTAAAATGGGGAAACTGAGTTCCCCCACACAGTGACTTGGGGTCTACATTCCCCATTCTTCCCTCTACCCCAGGCTGCCACTGGTGAGACCTGTGGGGAAATGAGAGGATTCTTGGCTGAGGCTCTGGCAAGAGGCTTTGGCCCTCCCAGTCCTGGAGAACAGGCTGAGCCTCGGGCTGAGGACCTTGCTCTCAGGCTAGCATTCTGACCCAGAGTAGGCTGTCTGCTCAGTTTGAATCCTGAGTTCGTGGTCCAGGGATTTCCTGCACTCTTGCTCTTAGCTGATTGTGAGGTCATCTCCCCGTCTCACTTTCTGTTTCTCTGAATTACTAAGTGGAAAGCAAAACTTAAAGGTGTCAACACGGTTAGCCACCCCTGGGAAATCTCAGAAGGGCAGGCGAGCTCGTCAGTTTCTAGACACCATGGTAGGGTTTGAGGAAGTCCAAGAAGAACACAGGTTCCTCAGCAGCACACACCCAATCCGTGCCAGGCTCCAGGTGCTGGGGATGAAATGACAACAATAGCTACTATTGACTGAGCACTCACTATGCACTGGCCGCTCCCCTAAGCACTGGCCATTCCTGAGCTCATTCACTCCTCACAAACAGCCCTGCCAGGCAGGTCCTCAGGAACTGTTAACGCAGAGTTAAGAGGGTCAGTTTCAATCTCAGTTCCCATTACTTAACAGCTAAGGTACCTTGGACAAGTTACTCAACCTCTTTGTACCCAGTAAAAGAAAAGAAGGATAATAGTAGTAGCAACTTTGTTGGGTTATTGCGAGGATTGAGAAAGGGTCTAGATAGAGTGCCTAAATAGGTACTCAAAAAAATGTTAGCTATTGGCTGGGTGCAGTGGCTCACATCTATAATCCCAGCACGGTGGGAGGCGGAGGCAGATGGGTGGCTTGAGCTCAGGAGTTCAAGACCATCCTGGGCAACATGGAGAAACCCCATCTCTACAAAAAAAAGTACAAAAATTAGCCGGGCATGGTGGCACATGCCCATGGTCACAGCTACTCCAGCAGCTGGGATCACTTGAGCTCAGAAGGTCAAGGCTGCAGTGAGCCAAGATGGCACCCACTCCAGCCTGGGCAACAGAGCCAGGAAAAAAAAAAAAGTTAACTGTTTTGATTGTTTTTTTGTATGTCTGTTTTATTATTATTTTTTTTTTAACCGGAGTCTCTCTCTGTCACCCAGGCTGGAGTGCAGTGACATGATCTTGGCTCTCTGCAACCTCTGCCTCCAGGATTCAAGTGGTTCTCTGGCCTCAGCCTCCCAAGTAACTGGGACTACAGGCACCCGCCACCATGCCCGGCTAATTTTTTTTGCATTTTTGGTAGAGATGGGGCTTCACCATGTTGGCCAGGCTGGTCTCGCTCGAACTCCTGACCTCAGGTGATCCGCCCACCTCGGCCTCCCAAAGTCCCAGGCATGAGCCACCGCATCTGGCCATGGTTGTTTACCTTATTATCCCCATATTACAGATGAGGAAACTGGGGCTCGCTTGATTATTTGTTAGGGCTGCCATAACAAAGCACCACACACTGGTGGCTTAAACAACAGGAATGTCCTGTCTCGGGGTTCTGGAGGCTGCAGTCTGAGATCCAGGTGTCGCCCAGGTTGGTTCCTTTTGAGGGTTGTGAGTGGGAATCTGTTCCCTGCCCCTCTCCCAGATTCTAGGGGTTGTTGTCAAAGCTTTGGGGTACCTTGGCTTATAGATGCCTCACTCAGATCTCTGCCTTCATGTTCACATGGCATTCTCTCTGTGTGTGTCCAAACTTCCTCTTTTTATTTTTATTTTTTATTTTTGAGATGGAGTCTTGCTCTGTCGCCCAGGCTGGAGTGCAGTGGCAGGATCTGGGCTCACTGCAACCTCTGCCTCCCAGGCTCAAGTGATTCTCCTGCCTCAGCCTTCTGAGTAGTTGGGACTACAGGCACGAGCCACCACACCCAGCTAATTTTTGTATTTTTAGTAGAGATGGGGTTTTACCATGTTGGCCAGGCTAGACTCAAGCGATCCGCCTGCCTTGGCCTCCCAAAGTGCTGGGATGACAGGCATGAGCCACTGCACCTGGTTAGCTTCCTCTTTTTTTTTTTTTTTTTTTTTTTTTTTGAGACAGAGTCACTCTGTTGTCTAGGCTGGACTGCAGTGGCACGATCTCGGCTCACTGCAATCTCCACCTCTTGGGTTCAAGCGATTTTCCCGCCTCAGCCTCCCAAGTTGTAGTATAGGTGTCCGCCACCACGCCTGGCTAATTTTTTATTTTTAGTAGAGACGGGGTTTCGCCCTGTTGCCCAGGCTGGTCTTGAATGCCTGACCTCAGGTGATCTGCCCTCCTTGGCCTCCCAAATTGCTGGGATTACAGGTGTGAATCACTGTGCCCAGCCAACTTCCTCTTTTTCAAAGGACACCAATCATATTGGATTATGAGCCCACCCTACTACTCCAGTGTGACTTCATCCTACCTTAACTAATTCTATCTGCAACGACCTTATTTCCAAATAAATCACGTTCTGAGGTATTGGGGGTTAGGATTTTAACATATGAATTTGAGAGAGCGGGACACAGTTCAACCCATAAACTGAGTAACTTACGCTGTTAAGATAGATGGAATATGGGACAACTGCTCAGGAATCCAAACTCAGGCTTACAGTCTCTAGAACTATGCTGTCCAGTGGGGTCCCCAGCAGCCATATGCTGCTAGTAGACTGAATTCAGACCTGGAGTGTAGCTGGTTTGAACTGAGATGTGCTGAAAGTGTAAAGTCCACACTGGATTTTTTGTTGTTGTTTTGAGACGAAGTCTCGCTCTATCGCCCAGGCTGGAGTGTGGCGGCGCGATCTCGGCTCACTACAACCTCCATCTCCCAGGTTCAAGGGAGTCTCCCGCCTTGACCTCCCAAGTAGCCTCCCAAGTAGCTGTGCACCACCACGCCTGGCTAATTTTTGTATTTTCAGTAGAGACGGGGTTTCACCATGTTGCCAGGCTGGTCTCGAATGCCTCACCTCAAGTGATCCACCCACCTCAGCCTCCCAGAGTGCTGGGATTACAGCCATGAGCCACTGCATCTGGCTGAAGCCTTGTATTTAAAAAAGAGACAGGCCAGATGCAGTTGTTCATGGCTGTAATCCCAACACTTTGGGAGGCCAGTGCAGAAGGATGGCTTGAGCCCAGGAGTTTGAGACCAGCCTGGGCAAGATGGTGAGATCTCCTCTACAAAAAAAATAAATAAATAAAATAAAAATTAGCCAGACATGGTGGTGCATACCTGTAGTCCCAGCTACTCGAGGAGGCTGAGGTGAAGTATTGCTTGAGCCCAGGAGTTTGAGGCTGTACTGAGCTATGATCATGCCACTGCACTGCAGCCTGGGTAAGAGAGACCCTGTCTCTATTAAAAAATAATAATAATTAAAATATTAAAAAGAGCCATAAAATGTCTCAATAACTTTTATATTGATTACCTGTTGAAATGATAGTATTTTGGATATGTTAGGTTAAATAAAACGTTAAAATTAATTTCACCTATTTACTTTTTACGTTTTGAAACATGGCTGTTGGGTGATATAAAATTACATTTGTGGGCCAGGTGCAGTGGTTCACACCTGTAATCTCAGCACTTTGGGAGGCTGAGGCAGGTGGATCACTTGGGGTCAGGAGTTCAAGACCAGCCTGGCCAACATGGTGAAAACCCATCTCTACTGAAAATGCAAAAATTAGCCGGGTGTGGTGGTGGGTGCCTGTAATCCAAGCTACTCAGGAGGCTGACGCAGGAGAATCGCTTAAACCCAGGAGGCGGAAGTTGCAGTGAGCCAAGATCGTGCCACTGCCACTCCAGCCTGGGCGACAGAGCAAGACCCCATCTCAAAAAAAGAAAAAATTACATCTGTGGCTTGCATTATATTTCTATTGGACAACACTGTTCTAGAAGTACAGATTGAGTAGCCCTTATCTGAAATGCTGGGGACCAGAAGGGTTTTGGATTTTGGATTTGGGATTTTTTTGGATTTTGGAATATTTGCATTATACTTACTGGTTGAGCATCCCAAATTTGAAAATCTGAAATTTGAAATGTTCCAATGAGCATTTCCTTTGAGCGTCATGTTGGCACTCAGAAAGTTTAGGATTCTGGAGCATTTGTATTTGGGATGCTGTACCTGTATCAACAGTACAGTGTGGGAACCCTGGAGATGGTCACAGTACATCATCTTGGTTCTGGAAAGACTCCGTGAAGCTGGTGGTATTTGAAAGGGGTGGAGGAGAGTCTATGTAGGGAATTAAGTGGGCCATAGGGAGCCATTGAAGATTCTTGAGCAATGCATGGGAGGATAAAAACCAGTTTCAAGAAAACTAGAATGGGAATACCATGCAGGATAGATGGGAGCGAGAAAAGAGATGACGGTAAGAGTCAGAGGCTGGGCATGGTGGCTCACACCTGTAATCCCAGCACTTTGGGAGGCCGAGGTGGGCAGATCACCAGAGGTCGGGAGTTTGAGATCAGCCTGGCTAACATGGTGAAACCCCGTCTCTACTAAATATACAAAATTAGCTGGGCATGGTGGCATGTGCCTGTAATGTAGCTACTTGGGAGGCTGAGGCAGGAGAATTGCTTGAACCCGGGAGGCGGAGGTTGCTGTGAGCTGGGATCGTGCCACTGCACTCCAGCCTGGGCGACAAAGTGAGACTTAGTCTCCAAAAAAAAAAAAAAAGAAAAGACAAAAAAAAAAAGAGTCAGAGGCCCTAGGGAGCAGTTACAAGGGCCTGCATCATCTTTGGCAGACAGAGAATTGGAGTGAAGAAAACGTTAGGAAAGGAAGAAAACGTTTGGAGAGTCACCAGAAAGGTGAGGGCAACATGAAGAAGAGGTGGGAGTCTGTTCAGGTGCTGATGGGAGGCCCAGGGACACCACAAGGAGCTCCCCGCCCTCAGATTCCCACTGAGCAGTCAGGGTGGGCAGTATGTCCCTCTCCTTCCTCCTTGTCCCCAATTTCCCTCCCCATCAGACAGACAGAAAGGGGCAGAGGAGCCCAGAGCAGGGAGAAAGGAGGCAGTAGAGCAGTACCTCTCCGAGTCCCTGTACATCCAGACCTGGAAAACCGCAATTCCCTGGGCGCCCTTGAGCATTGGCCTCGGGGCCTGGACGCCTCAGTCTTCATCCACATTTGGTGCAGAAATGCTTTTGTTTCTCAGTTAGAGGATATGCCAACTCCACTCTTTAAGCGTGTGACACGGAACCCTGCTCAGACTGGGCACTTGATAGCCACTGAACGATGAGGCAGGGGTTCAAAGACCAGGCAGGTCTTTGGAACCACATCCGGGCTTCTCAGTTCCTGCTCCATCACCTATAGGTTTGTACAATTGTCAGCAAGTTATTGAACCTTTCTGAGGCTCCATTTCCTAATCATAAAAGAGAACTCCTAGTGCCTCCTCCCTGGTCTCATGCGGGTCAGATGCCGTGACATGGACTGTGGCCCTAAGCGCGGTGCCTGGTTCACAGCTGATGTTTGCTAATTGCACCCATGAAGAGAGAAGGGCAGAAACCCAGTCCCCTCTCCGACTTCTCTTGGGAACTGCGGTCTTCGATGCTGACCCTCGTTTTCTGCCGGCTGTATCTTGTGTGCATGCTGCTCTCTCCCACTCTGCTGCCAGAGAACTTCCCTAAACCTGGCTCAGATCATCGCCGCCTCCCCTATTAAAATATCTCCCATGGCTCCCTATTGCCTAAGGTTCCCCCAGCTCAGCACCTAGCAGTCAGGCTCTCCAAACCCCTATCTATCTGCCTTTCTTGCTTTCTCTCATAGCTCAGCCATTGCCTACCATGCATTTCAGCCAACTCCTAGTCTCTCCTATCCCCCATCCCTCTCCCTAGAAATACCATCATTCTGGCAGCCCCAGGCCAGAAGAGACCTTTATGATGCACTTACCCACTCCTGCCCACCATCGCTGCCCCACTGGTCCCTAGCCTCTGGCCCTCCTTGCTGTTGCTGATGCACATCATAGCTCGTCCATTCATTCACACCATCTGTCTATTTCCACAGCTCTTACTATACACTTTATCTGCCCCCAGACTGGAACCTGTGTTTTGCACACAGGTGACTTGAGAATGTTTGTGGGATTGAAGTTGAACTGATTTTCATAAATACAAAAGAGTTCTGGCAGCTGCGTGGAGTAAAATTGTCTCTGCCCTGTGTTGGCCTTTGCTGTTGAGATGTGGTGATGCATAGCCCTGATGGGCAGGGAGCAAGCACACTGTCTTTAGATTGGGCTGCATGTGGATCCAATCCCAACTTTGCCTCTGGATTGCTCTGTGTCCTCTAGCTTGTTGCTCAACCTCTCTGTGCTCCCCTAAGTAGGATCCTCTGTAACACAGAGATGATTAAATAGTACAGGTGTATCCAGCCCTGTGGCCCAGGTGCTATTCTGAGCACGTTTCATACTCCCCACCACAACCCTGAACTAGTACCATCACTCCCATTTTACAGATGAGGAAACTGAGGTATGAGACTGAGTAAGCTGTCCAAGGAAGGGATAGAGCAGAGACTCAGATTCTGGCTCCTGAGCTGGAGCTGTGGTGTTCAGATCCCATGCTCAGTGTGTGTGAATGCACTCTATAAATGCTAAGTGTCCAATGTATGTAAGGGGCGAGGTCCTGCATAGCACATGGGTGGAAATGTGGCCCAGTAATGGTCATTATTTGTCTCTGTGGATGAGGACACTGAGTGTCAATTTGTTGGAGGCTCCGGAGGCAGTTTGATCCCATTTATCATCCATAATGTTTTAATCCCAAAGACAGATCAGGCTCACGGGCCCCCAAATGTGCTGAGGGCCCCCAAAGGGCAGAAGCCTAACAGCCCTTTTATGAGATCCCACAAGGCCAGGTGACACCTCTCAGGTGAGTCTAGGGTTGGCCAGCCTTTGGTTTCATGCAGGCATTATTTTCTTTCTTTTTTGAGACAGAGTCTTGCTCTGTCACCCAGGCTGGAGTGCAGTGGCGCAGTCTTGGCTCACTGCAACCTCCGCCTCCCAGGCTTAAGCAGTTCTCGTGTCTCAGCCTCCTGAGTAGCTGGGATTACAGGCATGTGCCACCATGCCCAGCTCATTTTTGTATTTTTAGTAGAGATGGGGTTTCATCATGTTGGCCGTGCTGGTCTTGAACTCCTGGCCTCAAGCAATCCTCCTGCCTTGGCCTCCCATAGTGTTGGGATTATAGGCATGAGCCACTGCGCCTGGCTATGCAGGCATTTTTCAAAGGCCCCTCACCTCTCCGTCTCCTCCCAGTAAGGAGTAGTGAGTGTGCCCAGCCAGCAGCCAGCAATCAAGTAGCCCATGGTGGCCAGGAGGCTCCGGGGAGTCCCAAGTCCACCCAGGAGTGCTTTAGGCCACTGATGTGAGTGGGACCCCCCCCCCACTCCACCCCTTTTTATTTATTGTAATGTGGCGACATTACTTTTATAATGTAAGTGCTTATGATCTTCTGACATCTCTGTGTCTGACCATTATATAGAGGGGATATTTAGCAATGTTGGGAGACATTTCTGGTTGTCACAGTGGCCGGTATCTAGTGGGTAGAGACCAGAGAGCTCCCAAACATCTCACAATGCCCAGGGCAGCTCCCTCCCCTGCCACGCACACATAACAAAGAAGTATCTGGCCCCACATGGCAACAGTGCTAAGGCTAAGAAACCCTGGTCTATAAGAGAGCGCCACAAATCAGACTGTCAGCACAGGAGGGAATCCATGCACTGGAGACTGGCGTCCAGAGAGGGGCAGTGATTTGCCTAAGGACATACAGGAAGCTATGATACAAATCACTGCTCAGATTCATGGGTCCCACCTGGCGAGTTAATGTTTTTCTTCTTCCTTTTTAAAAAATCTAACAGTAATTTTTAGTAACTTGTAAATCAGTTTTGTGAGTGAATTCTCTTTTAACGTCAACCCAGCATAAGGAGGGGCATCCACCCTGAGAAGCACCGTGGTCGCGGGCACAGATGCAGACAGAAGGGAAGTCATGGTAGCTTGTGAACAGGGAGAGGTTTCAGCTGTAGCCAGCCTGGTAGCCCTTGCACAGGTGGGAGTGTCCTGTTGGGGCCCTGCCACCTGGCAGGTCCCTCTGGGTCTCAGCCAGATGAAGGAGGAAGGCTTCAATATCCAGATTTGCCCCAGGGTAAGTGGCCTTGTGGGAACCAGGCACTAGCCGGGGGGCGGGGACACCAGGGGAGCTTGGCAGGGGACAAGAGCAAAGAATGGGGCTGGAGCCACTCCAGAAGGTGATAGTAAGGGACCTGTCCTCTGTAAGAACAAGATTCTTCAGGGCCCCTTACTCATAGCCTCCTCTCCTGGCAGCCAAGAATGAATGAATGGGTACGTGAACTAGTGTATAATGGATGAATGAATGCATGGTAGAGGCAGCAGGCTCTGGACTGCTCAGCGGGATTCAGTGCAGAGATGTGCAGACTTGTTAGATGGGAAGAATCCCCTGAAACAGTTGCTGACACCCCTCCCTGGATATTTCAATTCAGTAGGTCTGTGTAGGGCCTGGCCCTCCTGGATTTTTGGATCAGGCACATCTGGGAAATACTTGGAGTAGAGTGGAAACACAGTGGAAGGTGTGTGCAGGCAGACAGCCGCACCTGGTCTGGCACTCCCCTGCTTGTGACCTGGGTGCACACCGCCCTGCGCCCCGCTTTGCTGGCGGGTCAGATGGTATGGAAGTCACCGCCTTGCACCGTTATCATTGTGTGCCTGGTAGTGCCCTGTCCCTTGGTCCTTGTGCTAATAATAACAACTACAGTAACAATGATGGGGTCAGGTGGATCCAGACACGGCACTGCAGCTTTCAGCTGACTAGCTGTGTGACTTGGGCAAGCCCCTTAATCTCTCTGATCTCGGGCTCCCTCCTCTGTAAAATGGAATTAAGAATAACCTCATTGAGGAGCTTCCTGAGGAGGTAAGGAAAGTGCCTGGCACAGTGCCAGGCTGCTAAGAGATCAATAAATGTCCCATCCCCCAGCCCCACCCCAGTTCTTTCCAGGAATTTGAGAGACTCCTCCCCCTGTGTTTGAAAGTGGCAAAGTCTGGCACACTTGCCTCATGACACTGACTCAGGGCAGGTCCTGTGGCCAGCAGGTCACACAGCCCCGAGGCCAGCCTGCCAGTGCCTTTCTCCGACTCCTGGGCTCCAGCAGGTGCCCGACTCCTTCCCTTTTCAGACCTGCCTCAGTCTGTGGAGCCCTGGCTGCTAAAGGGCCACTCAAGCCTCACCAGTCTGGGCCCTCACCTTACAAATGGGAAAACTGAAGCCCAGAGAGGGTCTTTGACATCCCTGAGGTCACACAGCAAGTTCCAGCATCTCTTCCTTCCCAGAATCTTTGTCCCAAAGAGTGGTGTCTCTTTGCTAAATAGATGGTTCTGTTCTTTCCCTTCTTCCTCTTCTTTCCTCGGCTTGTCCTCTCCCTCTTATTCTATTTGTCTCGTGGTGAGTCACATAGTGCCTCATGTAGACCCCCACTTCCCCTCTCCAGACTCTCAGGCTCGGGAAGTGATGGGTTTCCTGGGAATCCACACCATGATGACTCGTACCTTCTACGTCTGTGCCCAGCTGTGGCTGCCTCTGGGATGGTGGATGAGTTCCTTCAGGGCTTTGTGTGAACTGGGCCTGAGCCAAGCCCCTAGATGGGGAAAACAGGCCACATTGTTCAGGAGCACAAAGGATGTTAGCAAGAAAAGACACATGACCCATGGCCGCCCACACACCCACATCTCTCCACGCCCCGTGCCATTTCTGCCCGCCGCTGCGTGCTGGGTGGTTTCCTCTGCACAGAGTTTCCCTTGAGCTGCTACTCTGAGGTCGTGTGCCTGTTGTCATCTTTTAAAGCCTCAGTTTTGTCGCCATTTCCCAGGTGACCTCTAGCACACTCAAGTTTGAGAAGCGCTGGTGTGGTTCAGGAGCAGCGCCCCTTCATTCTCCAGCACACTCTCCCCAGTCCTCTAAGTCGAGCGTGAGCTCTGTCCAGAGAAGGCCTCCAACCAGACCATGTGGACCGCGGGGCAGGCTGGTGACACTGCCTGTTGACAGTGGATGGACAGACTGCTTCCCGCATAGTGACCCTGGGCAAGTCACATCTCCTCTCTGAGCCTCAGTCTCCTGTGGTTGCCAGGGGAGAACATGTAAAAGGGAACACATGATGTTCCAGGAGGCCGCTGGCTATCTAGAAGGAGAAGCAGGCTACGGGGAAGGTGTTAGGCACCAGAAGGCTCTTTCCTGGTGTACAGGCTAAGGTCGTGGGCTACATGCAGAGAAGGAGACGAAGGCTGTCCTAGAGCTGTCCAAAGTGGGCCTGGACTAGCCACGAGCCGCCCCTTTCCCTAATAGAGCTCACATCTGTTCTATTTTCAGGTCCCCTTCCCATCCTCTCCAACGGCAGCTGAGTGAAAGCAAGCTGACTGGCCTGTGTGACCAGAGCAGGGCAGGCTGTCCATGTGGGAGGCGAGGCGAGGAACGCGGGGCTGGGGCAGTCACAGCTGGGCGCCTGGGCTGCTGGAGGCCTGGAGTGGTCGTTCACTCTTCTGGCTCAGTGTGGCAGTGGCAGGCGGGCTCTGGATTCATCCCACTGGCTTCAAGGCCTGGCTTTGCCACTAACTAGCCGTGTGACTGTCCCAGTTATCAAATGGTGCTTGGCAAATCACACCAAAACTTACCGGTTCAAACAATGTCAATACTTATTTCGCTCGGCCACCTGCAGTTTGGGCAGGTGCTCTGCAGCAGGACAGGCCGTCAGTTAAGGCACCTTGAAGGCTGGGGGCTGGAACCATTGGAAGGTTTGCTCACCCACCTGTCTGGTGGCTGGTGCTGGCCTGCCTTGGACACATCACTATCTCGGTGGCTTTTCCCCGTGGTCTTTCCAGCATGGTGGCTTTGGGGTGGCCAGACATTTATTTATTTATTTATTTATTGAGACGGAGTCGTGCTCAGTCGCCCAAGCTGTAGTGCAGTGGCACGATCTCAGCTCACTTGCAATCTCCCTCCCAGGCTCAAGCAATTCTCCTGCCTCAGCCTCCCGAGTAACTGGGAATAGCCACGGCGCATGGGTAATTTTTGCATTTTTAGTAGAGACAGAGTCTCACCATGTTGGCCAGGCTGGTCTCAAACTCCTGGCCTCAGGTGATCCACCTGCCTCACCTCCCAAAGTGCTGGGATTACAGACGTGAGACACCGTGCCTGGCTGGTGGCCGGACTTCTTATAGAATTGCGGTCCCAGAGAGAAGTCAGAAGTCATACAGGCCAGCCCATATGCAATGGGAGGGGAGTTTGATTCCATCTTTTTTAAGAAGAGTGTCAAGGAATTTGCAAACTTGTTTTAAAATCATCAGAGTAAGCCTGGGCATGTCACTCCTCTGCATTTCAGATATTTCCTTTGTAAAACTCAGTTAAATGCAGTGCTCCCTCCTCACTGTTAGTTTTCTGTGGCTGCCGTAAGGAAGCCATCAACTTAGTGATTCACAGCAACACAGATGTCTTCTCTTACAGTTCTGTAGTTTCGAAGTTCAGCGTGGGTCTCACTGGTCTAAAATCAAAGTGTCAGTGGGGCTAGGTTCCTTCTGGATGCTCTGGGGAAGAATCCATTTCCTCGCCCTTTCTGGCTTCTAGAGGCTGCCTGAATACCTTAACTCACGGCCCCTCCCTCCATCTTCAAAGCCAGCAACAGCCTGTTTTCCTCATGTGGATTCACTCTGACCTCCACATGTAAGGAGGCTTGTGATTATGTTGGGACCACATGGGTAGGCCAGGTGATCTCCCCATTTGAAGGTCGACTGATTAGCAATCTAAGTTCTGCCCGGAACTTTAATTCCTCTTTGCCAGGTAATGCATTCACAGATCCTGGGGACTAGGGTGTGGACATCTTTGGGAGGTCATTATTCTGCCTGCCATAATAGAATTGTTGGGAAGATTAAACAACATAATATACATGACGTATGTTGAGGCACGCTTGGCACCTGGGAAATACTCAGGATGTACTAACCATTGCTCCTACACAGTTCAGCTCCTGAAGGAGTCCAGGTGGGCTTTTGGCACAGAATGAAACTATCAGGTGTGAGGAGGGTCCTAGTGCAATCTCTTCTTTTCAAAGATGATACATTTGAAGCCCAGGGAGGACTGATAATTTGCCCAAGGTCACACAGCCAGTCAAGGAGGGATTGCTCCCTTGCCAGCCCCAGCCCCACCCAGAAGATGCTGGGTCATGTAGGGGTGGGCACATGTCTTCCTGGCCAGATCCTGCAGCTCCTGAAAGGCAAGCTGGTGGTGGGTCATGACCTGAAGCACGACTTCCAGGCACTGAAAGAGGACATGAGCGGCTACACAATCTACGACACGTCCACTGACAGGCTGTTGTGGCGTGAGGCCAAGCTGGACCACTGCAGGCGTGTCTCCCTGCGGGTGCTGAGTGAGCGCCTCCTACACAAGAGCATCCAGGTGAGAACCTCCTCGTCCTTCTCCTCCTCCCCCCTCCTCCCCCTCCTCCCCCTCCTCCTCACCCATCTCCATTTCCTCCCCCTCCTCCCCCTCCTCCTCCCCCTCCTCCTCCCCCTCCTCCTTCTCCTCCTCCTTCTCCTCCCTCCTCCCCCTCCTCCTCCCCCTCCTCCTCCCCCTCCTCCTTCCCCTCCTCCTTCCCCTCCTCCTTCCCCTCCTCCCCCTTCCCCTCCCCCTTTGCCCTCCTCCCCTTCCTCCTCCCCCTCCCCCTCCCCCACCTCCTCGCTCTTCTCCCCTTCTTCCCCTTCCTCCTCCCCTGTCCCCTCCCTTTCCTCCTCCTCCCTCATGCCCTCGCACACCTCAGGGCAGCTTGCCTGAGGCATTGATGGTAGGTCCTGCTGTGCCTGGTCCCTGGCTGGTAGAGTGAGGATGAGGGCAGGGAAGGGAAAACACCCAACAAAGGTTTGCTTTTGTTGTTGAAATCAAGCCAGTTACCCTGTGGGAAGTGAAGCTTGCTCCCACCATAGAACTCTGGGCAATGATGTAAAGCACACACCTCACCTCAGATATGTCTCACAGCAGGGGCCGGGGAACTGGGATATTTGTACACCAGTTCCCATCAGCCACCAGCTGCTGCTGCTCCTGGGCACTGATTCCGCAGCACTTCTGGCTGGTGGGCAAAGCAGGCAGGAAAAGGCATACGGATATGGGGGGTTGGGAGTTCACCCTGTGGGAAGGGCAGAGGGAGAGGCGCCAGACACTAAGAGCCAGGGCTGTACACAGGGACCCTTCAGGTCAACAGCTCTTTATTAAACACCTGCTGCCTGCTCTAGGCCAGATCCTAGAGACGCAGGGTGAGCAAGACCCGTCTCTGTCCCTGAGCTCTTGGTTGGTTGGGAGGTGGCCCTTAACCAGATCATCAGCACACATGGTAAGGAGTGTGTGACGGAGGGAAGGGCAGTGCCCTGGGAGCAGGATGAAGGATGGGGCTGGCAGGGCAGGAGACCAGATCTGAACAGAGCCTGGAGGGTCTTAGTCAAGGAGGGCAGAAGAAGGCATACAGAGTGGGGCCAGGTGAGTCAAAGCCTGAGGCTCGGGGAGGGGCTGGGGAGCACGGAGCCCGCCCCTAGCCTGCTGGCAAGAGCTGTAGGAATCATGTCCGGAGTAGGGAACAGGGCTGAGTCTGGGCCTGTTAGCCTCAAGGCACATAAGGCACATAAGGGCCAGGCTGGGCTTTTCCTGGAGCCCTTGCCGCTCTGTGGCTCTCAGTCTGGGGCCTTAAGCCTGACCCAGGGCCTTCTCCCAGGCTCTGTCCCTGGGCTCATTAAGCCTGGTTGTTCCAGAAGCTCAGTACCCCACCAGGCAGCTCCTGCCTGCACTGATGCCCCTAGAAACCAGCCCTCCCGCCCGCCCCCGCTCACATGGACAGTGGTGCTACTGATCACTGTGACCAGAACTGACCCACAGGACACAAGGAGCTAACATGGTAGAGCTGTCACAGTTGGGCAGTGGTGTTACTGCCCCTCGAGGGAGTGAAATAGCAGGCCTGTGGCTCCCTGCCAAGCTGCGCGCATGGTAGACTGGGCTGCACAGGAAAGGAAAGACCCTGCCATTTATGAAGCCCTGTGGAGGGTGCTGGGCACAGTTCTCTCATTCCATCCTTTAAGGCAGGTATAATCAGGCCCATTTCACAGAAGAGGAAACAGAGGCCCAGAGAGGAAAAGTGACTTGCCCACGGTCACAGAGCTCATAAGCAGGGGAGCTGGGAATTGCAGCCTGGGGTTTGTCTGATTCCAAATCCGGGGCTCTTTACCTCCCCACTTGGTAATAAAGGGTGCTGGTGCTGCATTCTGCTTCTGTTCTTGGCTTCCTTCTCCATAGAGCAGAGTGGTAGAACACATAACCTCCCTGTGCCTCAGTTTCCTCATCTGTCAAGGATGGTGACAGGGGCAGGTATGCAGAGGCACAGCGCAGACGACGCCACCATGCTACCTGCTTGCTGATTAATGATAGGGTGTCCAAGCCAAAAAATAAAACTAAACATTAAAAAATAAAACAATACAGCGTAATAACGGCAACAAGAAAAAGCCTTTTTGAGCTGGGCCGTCTAACCAGGTGTCCCCAACACCCTGTCTGGAGTGCCTGGAAAAGGAGCCCCTGTGAGAACAGGAAGTCCTCTCTCGACAGAGGGACACCAAGAAAACGCAGCCAGGTCCAACAGCCCGCTGGCTCCCATGCTGGGTACCGGCCAGGACACCAGGGCTGAGCGGGGCATGCGAAGGGAGATGAAAGGTGACTGCACTGAGGATTTGCCCTGTGTACTCGCCTCTGCAAGATCCACATCTCAGCTGCACAACTGGCTGGCTTGTGTGTGAGCCTCAGTTTTATCATCAGTAAAATGGGGGAATAATCATATCCAGCTCAGAGGTTTAACTTCAGCCTAGTGCACGGAAGACATGGTAAATGGTCATCGCTTCTCCCTTGAATGGACCGAGGGCCCCCGACTCCCATAGCACTACCCCATAAAGTCTAGGCTCCCGACTTCGGCATTCAAGGCCTTCAGTGATAAATCCAGGCCCACCATCCGTCCCCACACCACCTTTCACACACCCCCTGCCCCCACCCTCGCAGGCCTCTTATTTTAGCTGCACATGCTCTCCCTGCCTCCGAAATGCTTGCGGCCTTTCCTTTCCATTTATTGACGCCCTTGTGTTCTCTCTGAGCAGCCCTTCCCTGTGTCCCTAGCTGGAGTTCCTCACTCCCTCCTCAGTGTCCTGAAGCTTCTTGTTAGAGCTGCTGCAGCCACTGCGTGTGTCTGACAGCAAGTCTGCAGCCTCTGCCTCCCTTGCGGGACTGCAGGTGACTTGAAGGCACAGCCTGGTTCCCAGGAGGCTGGCTTTCGTGCCACTGGCCCCAGGGCTGAAGGCAGGCCAGCTCCAGCCACCTGCTGAGTCTCCTAAGTCCAGAGTGTCAGAGACCTCAAGAGACTCTCACCCACTGACCCACCTGGGGACTCTGGAAATCGGGATGTGACCAGGGAAGACCCTGTCACGGGGCCTCTGAATTCAGCCTCATCCCAAGTCCCCACTCTATACTTGTGTCTGCAGAACAGCCTGCTTGGACACAGCTCGGTGGAAGATGCGAGGGCAACGATGGAGCTCTATCAAATCTCCCAGAGAATCCGAGCCCGCCGAGGGCTGCCCCGCCTGGCTGTGTCAGACTGAAGCCCCATCCAGCCCGTTCCGCAGGGA
Source organism: Homo sapiens (assembly GCF_000001405.40). Lineage (NCBI taxonomy): Eukaryota > Metazoa > Chordata > Mammalia > Primates > Hominidae > Homo > Homo sapiens. Next base: position 88,655,559 of record NC_000015.10, read on the forward strand.
CTAGAGGCTTTCGGCTTTTTGGGACAGCAACTACCTTGCTTTTGGAAAATACATTTTTAATAGTAAAGTGGCTCTATATTTTCTCTACGCCATCACTGGGTCCTCTTCTTATTCTTCTCTCCAAGCTGGGTTAACAGTAGACAGGACCCATTTCTGTGTGATGTTAGGAGGGAATGAAGTCTTATGCTGGGGAGGTGGGCAAGTATCAATTTCCTTAATATCTTGAATCCTGTGGGTCCAAAATGTGGCTTGGAAATCTAAGTAGCATGTGGCTTAATTACTAATCCCACCCTTTGCTGTTGCATCCCAGCCCTATTCCTGGTGCATTTATGCCCAGAGAGGTGGCATTATTTCCTGGGGTGGCATTCAGCTCCTCTTGAGTTGGTGCCACAGCATTTGTGGGCTTTGAAGCAAAGGTACAGGAAATGTCAAGGGTGCCACCCCGGCAACCTTGAGCAAGTCACCCCTCCTATTTGTAAAATGAGGAAGGAAAGGTAACAAACTGTGGAGTCAGAGAGAAGTAGGTTGGAATCCTCTTTGTCATTTAGTAGCTGTTTGACCTAAGGTGGTTTACTGAACTTCTCAGTTTCTCCATCTGTAAAATGAGAATTCTAGCAACTCGTAGGGTATTTGTGAGATGTTGCAGGCAAAGCCCCCAGCACCATGCCTGTCCTAGCTTAAGCACCCACCAGGTGTCGATAAGTAATTGTTCTTCCCTGGACTGCCTGCACATCTAGGGCACCCCAGGAAGAGTCACCGCACTCTGTTTCGGGGCTCGGCTCTCTGAGGGGAGGGCATCCTGTATGGGGAGGAGGGTCTGGACCAGAGCTGTCCCTGATCGCTAGAATCAACGGCAGAATTCTTGTTATTTTAATAATAATTAATAATTTAGTGCTTCCACTAAATAAAAATCATTGGAATGGTGTCCAAGCAATTTTTTTTTTTGAGATGGAGTCTCACTCTGTCACCCAGGCTAGAGTGCAGTGACTGGATCTCAGCTCACTGCAATCTCCACCTCCTGGGTCCAAGCGATTCTCCTGCCTCAGCTTCTCAAGTAGCTAGGATTACAGTCATGTGCCATCACACCTGGCTAATTTTTGCATTTTCAGTAAAGATGAGGTTTCGCCATGTTGGCCAGGCTGGTCTCAAACTCCTGACCTCAAGTGATCCACCCCACCTCGGCCTCCCAAAGTGCTGGGATTACAGGCGTGAGCCACCACCGCACCTGGCCAAGCTGTTCCTTTTTTTAACCTCCACAGGTGATTCTGGTCCTAGGGTTTTTGAGTCACCTGCAGTGCTTTCTCAACCATCCCAGCACCTGAACACGGTGCTGTCACACTACAGTGAGCAACTGCATCACCTGGCAGGTGCTGGGTCCACCCCCAGAGTTTCAGATGCAGTGGGTTGCGGTGGAGCTCGAGAATGTGCAAGTTCCCCATTCTAACAAGTTCCCCGCTGCTGCTGGCCCGGGGGCCATGCTATGAGAGAAGCACTGCCTAAGCATCAGGTGTTAGGATGTGCAGCCACAGTTGAGAGCTGGCCCCAGGGCTGGGCGCCACCAAGGTGCACTCAGTCACAGGTCCAGCCTCTCCCCATGCCGCCTCCCTTGGCTGCCTGTTCATGCAGAGAGGTCCACAGCCCGGCAAGATGGGTCCCAAATGGCCCACTGCACAGATGAGGGACTCGACCAAGGTTAAGAACCCAAGAGATTTCAATCCAGACCTGCCTGATCCCCAAACTCAAGTGTTTTTTTCCCCTCAGCTGTCCTAGGATGGCAATGCCTCCCATCTGAGCCACTGACCTCTGGGAAGCTGGAGGGCCCCCTCCCGTGTCTGGAAGAGGTGGGAGATGCAATCTACTCTCACAGGGTTCTCTCCCACCCTGTCCACAGGGTTTCAAGGTGATGACCCAGCCCCCTGCAGTTTTATGATTTCTTACGTGCCTTCAAGGCTGCTGGGTGCGTCGGCCTTGTCTGGCTATGACTGGCCACCAGGTGGTGGCCGTGGGCCGTCTGTCCTCCTGAAAGCTTCGAGGGCAGAACCTGCATAATGAACATTTTGGGATGAGGTGTGAGGGACAGTGTCTTCAAAAATGCCTAGGGGGCTGCTCCAGGGATGCTCTAGGCAGTCTTCACTCAGCCACAGATGCTAAGGCTCAGAGAGGGGTTGGAGCATGATGCAGCCTGGCCTGGGAGGTGAGCCCAGGCTTTCTGACTCCCAGCCCAAGGTTCTGTCCATGGCTTCAGGCTTCCTTGAGAGGAGAGACAAACCAGGTTTCCTGAAGTCAGAGCAGTTCAAAGGGAATTTCCAGCCCGACTTGCTTAGATGCCCTGAGGGGAGAGAAAACCGGGGAGGTGCCCACCACCCCCACTCCCAGGCAGGCAGGACCCCGGAGAGCAGCAGGTGCGGCAGTCATGTAAAACACAGGCAACGAGAGCTCTAGAAAGAGCACCAGCTTTAGAGTCAGCTGACCTGGGCTGAGGCTCTGGCTTGAGTCATGGCGGGCAAGTGTCTTACTTCTGTGACACTCAGTATCCGCAGCCACCATATGGGCTTTCCTGCCACGCAGGGCTGAAAAGAAGATTGAGAGTCTGTATGCAGGGTGCCCAGCACTGGGCGGGGGGCCGGGGCAGGAGGGGCAGGGGCTGATAAACAGCATCCATCACTACTGATCTAAAAATCAAGAGCTGCCTTGGGGCTGCCCCTCTAGACTCCTCAACACAATTGGAGTCGATGCCAGCAAATGCGGGGTTTATTCTGATGAGGTTTGAGGATGGGAGAAGGAAAGGCGATGTTTATTGAGGTGGTAATGTCTAGCCCACGGGGAGCCCTATCTGGGGTCCCAGTCAGGGCAGGCAGCTCAGGCTATCTGGTGTCCCCTGAGCCGATGGGAGGGCCTGCGTCTTAGCAGGTACTACTTCCTCCTCCTGCAGCTGCCCCAGCTGAGCCTACAGGGTACACCTAGAGAGAGAGAAAGGTGGGTGTATTCCAGGCATCTATTCCAAGGGTCACAGATGAAAATGTCTCAAGGGCCTGTCCTGAAAAATAAATGACTGAAACAGACCAGCTGTGCTGTGGGGAACAGGGAGTGTACGTCTTGCTGGAGCAGGCAGTTACCACTCAGCCCCAGCTTGCTGCGGCCATGCACAAGTGCTGGCCATTGTGCACATTGTCAGGGCTGTGTCTGGCCCACAGGCCACCAGTCTGAAACCTAAACTCCAGTCCACCTCCCAGCTGATACCTGACTCTTTCTGACTGGGAGTCATCTACCCTTGGCCTGGATGTGTCCAAGGACAGAAAATCAACTTCTCAAAAGCACTTCTCAGAGGGTGGGGGCCCTGGATTTAGGCATAGCAAGGTTTGTCCCCCTCAAGCTCACGCCCACAAGAAATTCAATCCCACTTTAATGAGGTGACCTGTGACACATCTTCAAATGGTTTTCATGTCACCATCCTCTCCCGTGAGTCTTTGACTTTCCAGGTTAAATGTACTCATTTTCTCAATGTTTTCCTTTTATGTGAAACCCCTCCCGATTTCTCCTCTACCCCCCGCCAGCTGCCCCCCTACCCATTCCTACAACCTGGCTTCCTTGTCCCTTCTCTCCCCACACTCCCCAAGCCCCGCTCTCAGTGGGTCCTTAACAAACGGGGAAAAGGTGGAGAGAGAAGCAGGACCCAGGTGAGCTGAGGGAAAGAGCAGCATCCACCATCCAGCTGAGGCTGGTGGAAAGACCTGCGACACTGGCAGGATGAACTAAGGTGTCAGGGACAAGAGTCACTGCCTGCCACCTAACCGTGCAGGCATCAAAGAGACTTTTTGGGTAGCTGGAAATAACAGTCTAAAACACGGCCCCACCTTTCTGAGCACACCTGAGTCACCTCTGACTCAGACCCAGACTCCTGGGCTGACCCAGTGAGGGGATTGGAAAGGCTGCCCCGCCCCTCTCAGTCCCCTTTTCCGTCCCCTCTTCCAGCCCATCTCAGCCAGAATAGAGAAAAGTGCGGCTTCTATTCAGGGGTGTACTCACGTTCCTCCTACCCTGAACCACTGAATGTCTCCAGGCACATCCCAGCCCCTGCTTCCCCACTGTCCCCCAGCCCCATCCGAAGGCCCATTGTTGTCTCCAAGGGTGTCAGCCAGCCCTGTCCCAGTTCCAGGAGTGGTAACCAGCACAGCCCAGCTTCCTGTCCAGTGTTCTGCGGGCTGGGCCAGGCTCTGCAGCCAAGAGGCTTACTCACTGGTGGAACAATTTCTCCTCTATATGGAAAGAACATATGCTTTTCCTGCTGGGGGATGAGAGACTTTCGAGTAGCTTTGCCGAGACGTGGAGGAAAAGGCAAACGCTGGCCTAGCCCCAGCACCCAGATTTCCAGCAATGTTTGTCTTGTGGCAGAAGCTGCAGGCCTCTGTTCCCAGGCACATGGGGAGGCCCAGGGAACACTGCTTGGAACCCTTGGTTTTAGGGCACTGACCGGGTCCCCTCTTTCAGGGATGGATGTCCTGCCCTCCTCATTCTCCTATTCCATTCTCCCAATTTTAGGGCTAGAACAGAGCAGAAAGACCTGAACTTAGTTCTGCCAGAGCCCCTCTCCAGCCTTGAGGTCCCTCCAGAATGGAAATGTCAGTGCCCACCTCAGAGGGTGCTTGTAGGTTTATAGGGACACACAACAAGTACTTAAAAGACAATAACCACTGTGTTGTTATTAATGTTGTTCTCCTCCCAATGCATGTTTACTCAGCATCTCCTGTGTGCTGGGGGCTGTACTCGGCCCTGGGAATGAAGGTAGAGGAAGAGCTGGCTATTGCCCCCAAGCTGCTACCTGCCCCCGCTCCACCCCCTTAAACATGTTCATGTGCATACACCTGCAGGGCATAAGGCACAAATAATACAACACTTATGTTTAAAAAAAAAAACTAGTTTTTGAAATAACTTGGGATGGCCAGGTGCAGTGGCTCATACCTGTAATCCCAGAGCTTTGCGAGACCAAGGTGGGAGGATCACTTAAGGCCAGGAGTTTGAGACCAACCTGGGCAACATAGACCCTGTCTCTACAAAAAAAATACAAAAATGAGCCAGACATGGTGGTGCATGCCTGTGGTTCTAGATACTTGGGAGGCTGAGAATGGAGGATCACTTGAGCCCGGAGTTCAGTGCTGCAGTGAGCTATGATTGCATTACTGCACTCCAGTGGCATAGGCTAAATAGCAGAGAGAATACAGCTAAATGAGAAATTACTGAGCTAAATGACTTGGTTGAGAACCTCATCCAAAAGACATCAGGAAGGGATAAAGAAATGAGAATGAAAGACAAGTCAGGAGATAGAAAAGAAGAAATGTTCTGATCTATAGTAGCCAGCTTCAAAGACAGCCCTCAGTGATCTCTATCTCCTGATATTCACTTCCTTGTGTAGAAGTCAACCCACCTCCTCACAACATTGACTAGGTCAGACCTGTGTAACTGGTAGAATATTAAGGAACTAACAGATTGTAGTTTCCAAGTCCAGACCATAAATGTCAATGTGGCTTTCTTCTTACTCTCTCTGAAATCCCTTGCTCAGGGGTATGCCAACTGCCATGTTGGGGGGATACCCAATCAATCCTACAAAGAGGTCCACATTTGCAGGAACTGAGGGCCACTGCCAACATCAACTTGCCAGTCATGTGAGTGAGCCATCCTGGAATCAGATTCTCTAACACCAGCCAAGTCTTCAGATGATTGCAGCCTTGACCAACATCTTGACTCCAACTTTGAGAGACTCTGAGCCAGAATCACCCAGCTAAGTCACCCCAGATTCCTGACCTCAAGAAATTGCACAAGATAATAAAGGCTTAATACTGTTTTAAGCCATTAAGTTTTAGGGTAGTTTTTAATGCAACAATAGATCTATATACTAGAAACCCCAAAAGACTAAACAGAGTAGAGAAAATATTTGAAAAAATAATAACCAAGAATTTCCCATAATACAAAAGAATGCATGTTAATATGGAAAGAATCCACTGCATTCCCAACTAAGTCTGTAAGTATAAATTCACATCTAGATACATTTCAGTGGAATCTTAAAAGTCTGAAAGTCAAAAATGAAATTCTTTTGTCCTTAATGTAGAGCCTGGAAAAAAAATTTTAAGTAAAGTTCTATAAGCTTCCAGAGAGGAAAAGATCACCTACAAAGAAGTAAGAGTGAGATTGATATCTAACTTCTCAACAGCAACATTCAATGCAGGGAAATGGAATAACATCTTCAAAGAGTAGAAGGAAAAGAACTTTGAACATACACTTCCATGTTTAACTAAGTTTTTATTTAAAACGCAGAAACAGTCATACTGGAAAATGGGAGTTTCATAAAAAACTAAACATGCAACTACCATACAACCCAGCAATTGCATTCCTGGGCATTTATCCAAGAGAAACAAAAACATATGTTCACACAAAAATCTGTACATGGATGTTTATAGCTGCTTTACCCATAATAGTAAAAAACTGGAGACAACCCAGACGTCCTTCAATGGGTGAGTGGTTAAATAAACTGTGATGTGTCCATACCATGTAATGCTACTATAATAAAGGGAAACTATTTATACACTTAACAACTTAGATCAATCTCCAGAGAATTATGTTGAGTGTAAAAGTCAATCCCAAAAGGTGTATACTGCATGATTCCACTTAAAAAAATTTCTGTAAGTGACAAAATTATAAACATGGAGAACTGTTTCATAGTTCCCAGAAGTTGCAGGTGGGAAGAGGAGATTGTGGTGGCAGGTACGGCATTCTGAATAGTGAGACCTCTCACATCTGTACAGCTTCCCACACTGTGCCTCCAAAATGCTTCTGTTAATCTCTAACCTCCTGGCGTGAGACAAAAGAATTTCTCTCTGAGGAAACTGACCAAGCCAATGGCAAAAACCTATAGATATTGCTATCTGGGGTTCCCAGTGAACCAGCTGGACTTCTGCTCCATCACCCTACAGTGAGGCCCACAGTCAATGAGCCCTTTCCACACAAAGACAGATCCCCTAATCAGGCTTTTAGTGCCTCACTCTTCAATATGAATAGCCAGCAAAGGATCACCAGGCTTTTGAGGAAAGTTTCTACCTGAAAGTTACCCCAACAAAGAGTAGGTGAAAACTGAGAAGGAATAAATACAAAGCAGGGAGGACACTTTAAAGAAAGAAAGGGGGAAAAAGAGCATAATTAATATTATCAGAAAACAAATCAAATATATTACATCCAAAAAGTAAATATCACTACTTAAAAAGGAATATTTAAAGAACAAAAAATGTTCTTCACAAGTAAAAATAGTACAGCATAGATTTTAAATGCAATAAAATATTAAAATATCAAGTTGTGTAAAACTTCCAGAAAATAGACCAAAAAGTTAAAGAGAAAAGAAGACAGATGGAGGCGGAGCAAGATGGCTGAGTAGAAGCCTTCACTGATCATCCTCCCAAAGGAACACCAAAGTGAACAAAAAAGCACCTTCATAAAAACCAAAAATCAGGTGAGCGATCACAGTACCTGGTTTTAACTTCATATCACTGAAATAGGCACTGAAGAGGGTAGGAAAGATAGTCCTGAGTTGCTGGTGCCATCCCCTCCTCGTTTCCCCGTCAGCAGCCTGTGGTGCAGACAGATAATCTGCACTTGTGGGTGGGAGAGAAACAGTGACTGTGGGACTTTGTGTTAGAACTCAATGCTGCCTGGTCACAGTGGAAAGCAACACCAGGCAGAACTCAGCTGGCACCCATGGAGGGAGCATGTAGACCAGCCCTAGCCAGAGGGGAATCACCCATCCCAGCAGTTGGAACTTGAGTTCCAGCAAGTCCCGCCATCGTGGGCTAAAGTGCTCTAGGGTTCTAAGTAAACTTGAGAGACAACCTAGACCACAAGAACTGCAGTTCCTGGGCAAGTCTTGGTGCTGTGCTGGGCTTGGAGCCAGTGGATTTGCCGGGCAAATGACCTAGTGAGACACCAGCCAGGGAAGCCAAGAAAGTGCTTGCACCACTCCCCCACCCGCCCCAGCCCCAGGCAGTGCAGCAAGCAGCTCTGGAAGAGATTCTTTTCCTCCACTTAAGGAGAAGAGGGGGAAGAGTAAAGAGGACTTTGTCTTGCAACTTGGGTACTAGCTTGGCCAAAGTAGGATAGGGCACCAGGCAGAGTCCTGAGGCCTCCATTCTAGGCCCTAGCTCCCAGACAACATTTCTAGATACACCTTGGGCCAGAAGGGAAACTGCCGTTTTGAAGGGAAGGACCCAGTCCTGTCAGGATCCATCACCTGCTTACTAAAGAGCCCTTGGGCCCTGAATAATCCACAATGATACCCAGGCAATACTTGCTATGGGTCTTGACATTTCTGGACCTGCCCTGGGCCAGAGGATAGCCCACTGCCCTGATGGGAAAATCTCAGGCTTGGTATCATTCACCACAAGCTGACTGAAGAGCTCTCAGGCCTTAAGTGAATATCAGTGGTAGCCAAGTTGTACTCACCACAGGCCTGGGATGATGGCAGCCATGGGGGGAGACTCCTCTACTTGTGGAATGGGAAGGGAAGGGTGGGAAGGACTTTGTCTTGTGGCTTGGATGCTAGCTCAGCTGCAGTGGAATAGAGCATCAGGTAGATTCCTAAGGTTTCCAACTCCAGGCCCTGGCTCCCAGAGAGCATCTCTAGACCTGCCCAGGGCCAAGAGGAGCTCACCATCCTGAAGGAAAGGACGCAAGCCTGGCTGGCTTTACCACCTGCTGATTGTAGAGCACTAGGGCCTTGGACGAACATAGGCAGTGATTACCACAGGCTTAGGCGAGACCCAGTGCTGTGCTGGCTTCGGATCTGTCCCAGTGCAGTCTCAGTGGTAGTAGCTACACAGGTGCTGTGTCACACCTCCCCCAGCTCCAGGCAGCGTGGCACAGACAAAGAGGCTCTATTTGTTTGGGAGAAAGTAAGAGAAGAGAACAAGAGCCTCTGCCTGGTAATCCAGAGAACTCTTCCAGATCTTATTCAAGACTGCCAAGGCAGTACCTCTGTGAGTCTGTATGAGCCACAGCATTACTGGGTTTGGGGTGCCCCCTAATGCGTATATGGATGCAGTGACCAAAAACTTAGATCACAACACTCAAGTTCCTTCAAATGCCTGGGAAGCCTTCCCAAGAAAGATGGGTAAAAACAAGCTCAGACTGCAAAAACTACAATAAATACTTAACTCTTCAATGCCCGTATGCCAGTGAGCATCTACAAGCATCAAGACCATCCCGGAAAACATGACCTCACCAAACGAACTAAATAAGTCACCAGTGACCAATCTGGAGAGACAGAGATATGTGACCTTTCAGACAGATAATTCAAAATAGCTGCTTTGAGGAAACTCAGTGAAATTCAAGAAAACACAGAGAAGGAATTCAGAATCCTATCAGATAAATTTAACAAAGATACTAAAGTAATTAAAAGGACTCCAGCAGACATTCCGGAGTAGGAAAATGCAATTGGCTACTGAAGAATGCACCAGCGTCTCTCACCATCAGAACTGATCAAGCAGAAGAAAGAATTAGTGAGCTTGAAGACAGGCTACTTGAAAATACACAGTCAGAGGAGACAAAAGAATAAAGAATAAAAAACAATGAAACATGTCTACAGGATCTAGAAAATAGCCTCAAAAAGACAAATCTAAGAGTTATTGGCCTTTAAAGAGGATGTAAAGAGAGATAGGGATAGAAAGTTTATTCAAAGTTTATTCAAAGGAATGATAACTGACAACTTCCCAAATCTAGGGGAAGAGATATCAATATTCAAGTATAAGAAAGTTCTAGCATACCAAACAGACTTAACCCAAATAAGACTACCTTGAGACATTTAATAATCAAACTCTCAAAGGTCAAGGATCAAGAAAGGATCCCAAAAGCAAGAGAAAAGAAACAAATAACATACAACGGAGCTCCAACACATGTGGCAGCAGACTTTTCAGTGAAAACTTTATAGGCCAGGAGAGAGTGGCATGACATATTTACAGTGATGAAGGAAAAAAACTTTTATCCTAGAAAAGTATATGCATTGAAAATACCCTTCAAAAATGAAGCAGAAACAAAGAAAGTTGAAGTGTAGCATTTTATTAGTTTTCTCTTTGTTTGTTAGTTTGTTTATACAATCAGTGTTAAGTTGTCATCAGTTTAAAATAATGAGTTGTAAGATATTATTTGCAAGCCTCATGGTAATCTCAAATCAAAAAACCTACAACGGGCCTGGCATGGTGGCTCATGCCTGTAATCCCAACACTTTGGAAGGCCAGGATGGGAGGGTTGCTTGAACCCAGGAGCTCAAGATCAGCCTAGTCAACATAGTGAGACCCCGCCTCTACAAAAAAAACAGAAAAAAATTAGCCAGGTATGATGGTGCATGCCTGTAGTCCCTGCCACTTGAAAGGCTGAGGTGGGAGGATTGCCTGAGCCCAGGAAGTAGAGGCTTCAGTGAGTTATGATTGTTCCACTGCACTCCAGTCTGGGTGACAGTGAGAACCTGTCTCAAAACAGAAAAACAAAACAAACAAACAAAAAACCTACAACAGGGGCTGGGCACGGTGGCTCACGCCTGTAATCCCAGCACTTTGGGAGGCCGAGGTGGGCGGATCACGAGGTCAGGAGACCAAGACCACCTTGGCTAACACGGTGAAACCCCATCTCTACTAAAAATACCAAAAAATTAGCCGGGCGTGGTGGCAGGCGCCTGTAGGCCCAGCTACTCGGGAGGCTGAGGCAGGAGAATGGCATGAACCCGGGAGGTGGAGCTTGCAGTGAGCCGAGATCACGCCACTGCACTCCAGCCTGGGCGACAGAGCAAGACTCCGTCTCAAAAAAAAAAAAAAAAAAAAAAAAAAAAAAAAAAACCCTACAACCTACAACAGACACACAGAAAATAAAAAGCAAGAAATTAAAACATATCACCAGAGAAAATCACCTTCACTAAAAGGAAGAAAGCAAGGAAGAAAATAAAGAAGACCACAAAACAACCAGAAAATAAATAACAAAATGGGAAGAGTAAGTACTTACTTATTGATAATAACATTGGGCTGGGCACAGTGACTCACGCCTGTAATTCCAGCACATTGGGAGGCCAAGGTGAGAGGATTGCTTGAGCCCAGGAGTTTGAGACCAACCCAGACAACATAGTAAGTCCTAGTGTCTATTAAAAAAAATTTATTTATTTATATGTATTTTTTTATTTTTATTTCTCACCTGTCTTAAGTTGCTGTTCTATAATTTTTTTTTTTTTTTGAGGTGGAGTTTCACTCTTGTCTCCCAGGCTGGAGTGCAGTGACACAATCTTGGCTCACTGCAGCCTCCACCTCCCAGGTTTAAGTGATTCTCATGCCTCAGCCTCCTGAGTAGCTGGGATTACAGGTGCTTGCCAGCATGCCCAGCTAATTTTTATTTTTTTAGTAGAGATGGGGTTTCACCATGTTGGCCAGGCTGGTCTTGATCTCCTGATCTCAGGTGATCCACCTGCCTCGGCCTCCCAAAGTGTTGCCATTACAGGGATGAGCCACCGCACCCAGCCAAAACATTCTTTTAATTAGCTAGGCATGGTGGTACACACCTGTGGTCCCAGCTACTCAGGAGGCTGAGGTAGGAGGAGCGCTTAAGCCCAGGAGGTCAAGACTTCAGTGAACCATGACCATGCCACTGCATCCCAGCCTAGCTGACAGAGCAAGACCCTGTCTCAATAACAACAACAACAACAATGGCAAGAAACAACATTGAATGTAAATGGACTAAACTCTGCAATCAAGAGACAGAGAGTGGCTGAATAGATTAAAAAAAAAAACAAAAAACCCAGTGATCTGTTGCCTATAAGAAACACACTTCACCTATAAAGACACACATAGACTAGAAATAAAGAGATGGAAAAATATATTCCATGCAAATGGAAACCAAAAAAGGGCAGGAGTAGCTATACTTACATCAGACAAAATAAATTCCAAGACAAAAACCAAAAGTCATTATACAATGATAAAAGAGTTAATTCACTAAGAGGATATAACAATTGTAAATATATATGCACCCAACATTGGAACACCCAGATATATAAAGCGAACATTATTAGAGCTAAAGAGAGACATACACCCCAATACAATAATAACTGGAGACTTCAACACTTTGCTTTCAGCATTGGACAGATCATCCAGACAGAAAATCAACAAAGAAACACTGGACTTAATCTGCACTACAGACCAAATGGACCTAAAAGATATTTACAGAACATTTTATCCAATGGCTGCAGAATACACATTCTTCTCAGCACATGGAACATTCTCAAGGACAGACCATATGTTAAGACAAAACAAGTCTTAAAAAATTCAAAAAAAATTGAGATGATATCATGTATCTTCTGTGATCACAATGGAATAAAACTAGAAATCAATAACAAGAGGTATTTTGGAAACTATACAAACACATGGAAATTAAACAATATGCTCCTGAATGACCAGTGGGTCAATGAGAAATTAGGAGGGAAATTTTTAAATTCCTTTATTTTATGTTATTTTTTGCTCATGCTGCCTTGTCTCAGAAAAAAAAATCTTGAAACAAATGATAATGGAAACACAACATACCAAAACCTATTGGCTGTAGTGAAAGAAATACTAAGAGGAATATTTAATTATAGCTGTAAGCACCTACATCAAAAAAGTAGAACAATTCCAGGCCAGGTATGGTGGCTCACACCTATAATCCCAGCACTTTGGGAGGCCAAGGTGGGCAGATCACTTGAGCCAGGAGTTCAAGACCAGCCTGGCCAACATGATGAATCCCATCTCTACTAAAAATGCCCAGAATTAGCCAGGTGTGGTGGTGCATGCCTGTAGTCTCAGCTACTCAGGTGGCTGAAGCACAAGAATCACTTGAACCTGGGAGGCAGAGGTTGCAGTAAGCCGAAATGGCACCACTGCACTCCAGCCTGGGTGACAGAATGAGACTCTGTCTCAAAAAAAAAAGTAGAAAGGTAGAAAAATTTTAAGTAAACAACCTAATGATGCATCTCTGTGTGTGTGTGTGTGTGTATGTGTGTGTGTGTGTGAGAGAGAGAGAGAGAGAGAGAGAGTGAGTGAGACTGACTCTCACTCTGTCTCCCAGGCTGGAGTACAGCGGCATGATCTTAGCTCACTGCAACCTCCGCCTCTCCGGCTCAAGTGATCCTCCCACCTCAGCCTCCCAAGTATCTGGGACTTCAGGTGTGAGCCACAGCACCCAGGTGATGCATCTTAAAGAACTAGGAAAGCAAGAGCAAACAAAATCCAAAATTAGTAGAAGAAAGGAAATAATAAAGATCAGATGAGAAATATATGAAATGGAAGTGAAGAAAAAATACAAAAGATCAATGAAAAGAAAAGTTAGTTTTTTGAAAAGATAAAATCAACAAACCTTTAGCCAGACTAAGAAAAGAAGACAAGACCAAAATAAATAAAATCAGAGATGAAAAAGGAGCTATTACAACTGGTACCACAAAAATTCAAAGGATGATCAGAGGCTACTATAAGCAATATGCCAATAAATTGGAAAACCTAGAAGAAATTAATACATTCCTAGACACACACAACCTACCAAGATTGAACCATGAAGAAATCCAAAACCGGAATAGACCAACAACAAGTAAGGAGATTGAAGCTGTAATAACAAGACTTCCAGCAAAGAAAAGCCTGGGACCAAATGGCTTCAGTGCTGAATTTTACCAAACATTTTTTTTTTTTTTTTTTTTTTTTTGAGACGGAGTCTCGGTCTGTCGCCCAGGCTGGAGTGCAGTGGCGGGATCTCGGCTCACTGCAAGCTCCGCCTCCCGGGTTCACGCCATTCTCCTGCCTCAGCCTCCCAAGTAGCTGGGACTACAGGCGCCCGCCACTACGCCCGGCTAATTTTTTGTATTTTTAGTAGAGGCGGGGTTTCACCGTTTTAGCCGGGATGGTCTCGATCTCCTGACCTCGTGATCCGCCCGCCTCGGCCTCCCAAAGTGCTGGGATTACAGGCGTGAGCCACCGCGCCCGGCCTTTACCAAACATTTGAAGAAGAACAAATACGAAGCTTACTCAAAGTATTCCAAAAAATAGAGGAGGAGGGAATACTTCCAAACTCATTTTACAAGGTCAGTGTTACTCTAATACAAAGACACAATAAAAAAAAGAAAAGAAAGAAAACTACAAGCAAATATCCCTGATGAACATTTATGCAAAAATCTTCTACAAATTACTAGCAAACTGAATTCAGCATTAAAAAGATCATTCATCATGACCAAGTGGGATTTATCCCAGGGATGCAAGGATAATTCAACATATGCAAATCAATCAATGTGATACATCTTATCAACAGAATAAGGACAAAAAAATGATAATTTCAATTGATGCTGAGAAAGCATTTGATAAAATTCAACATCCCTTCATGATAAAAACCGCCAAAAAACGGGATATACCAGGAACATATCTCAATACAATAAAAGCCATATTTGACAGACCCATAGCTAATATTACACTAAATGGAGGAAAACTGGAAGCCTTTCATCTAACGTCTAGAACAACAAGGATGCCCACTTTCACCACTGTTATTCAATACAGTACTGGAAGTCCTAGCTAGAGCAATCAGACAAGAGAAAGAAATAAAGTGCATCCAAATTGAAAAGGAAGAACTCAAATTATCCTTGTTTGTAGATGATATGATCTTATATTTGGAAAAACCTAAAAACTCTGCCAAAAAATTATTAGAACTGATAAGTTCAGCAAAGTTGCAGGATACAAAATCAACATACAAAAATCAATGGCGTTTCTATATGCCAAGAGTGAACACTCTAAAAAAGAAACCAAGAAAGTAATCCCATTTACAATAGCTACAAATAAAATATCTAGGAATTAACAGAAGAAGTAAAATATCTTTACAGTGAAAATTATGAAACAATGAACGAAATTGAAGAGGACACCAAAATATGGAAAGATATTCCATGTTCATGAATTGGAAGAATCAATATTGTTAAAATGTCCATACTACCCAATGAATCTACAGATTCAAAACAATCCTTAACAAAATACCAATGAGAGTCTGTATAGAAATAGAAAAAATAATCCTAAAATTTATATGGAACAACTAAAGACCCAGAATAGCCAAAGTTATCCTGAGAAAAAGATCAAAACTAATGGAATCACATTACCTGATTTCAAATTATACTACAAAGCTACAGTAACCAAAACATCATGGTACTGGCATAAAGACAGACGTGTAGACCAATGGAACAGAATAGAGAACCCAGAAACCAATCCATACATCTACAATAAACTCATTTTCTTTGTTTTTTATTTTATTTATTTTTTGTTACAATAAGCTCATTTTCAACAAACATTCTAAGAACATCCATTGGAGAAAGGAGAGTCTCTTCAATTAATGGTGCTAGCAAAACTGGATATCAATATGCAGAAAAATTAAACTAGACTATCTCTTGCCATGTATAAAAATGAATTCAAAATGGATTAAAGATTTAAATCTAAGACCTCACACTATGAAACTACTAAAAGAAAACATTGGGGAAACTCTCTAGAACACTGTATTAGGCAAAGATTTCCTGAGTAATACCAACACACACAGGCAACCAAAGCAAAAATGGAGAAATGGGATCATATCAAGTTAAAAAGCATCTGCACAACAAAGGAAGCAATCAAAAAAGTGAAGAGGCAACCCACAGAATGAGAAAAAATACTTGCAAACTATCCATCTGACAAGGGATTATTAACCAGAATATATAAGGAATCAAACAACTCTATAGGAAAAAAAATCTAATAATATGATTTTAAAATGGGCAAAAGAGCTGAATAGGCATCTCTCAAAAGAAGACATCCAAATGGCAAACAGGTATACGAAAAGGTGCTCATTATCATTGACCATCAGAGAAATGCAAATCAAAACTACAATGAGATATCATCTCACCACAGTTAAAATGGCTTTTATTTAAAAGACAGGTAATAACAAATGCTGGCAAGGATGTGGAGAAAGGGGAACCTTTGTACACTGTTGTTGGAATGTAAATTAGTACAACCACTATGTAGAACCATTTGGAGATTCTTTTAAAAAACTAAAAATAGAACTATGAGATGATCCAGCAATCTCACTGCTAGGTATATACCCAAAAGAAAGGAAAGCAATATATTGAAGAGATAGTCACGCTTCCATGTTTATTGCAGCACTATTCACAACAGCCAAGATTTGGAAGCAACCTAAATGTCCATCAACAGACAAATGGAAAAAGAAAATGTGGTACATATACACAATAGAGTACTATTCAGTCATCAAAAGAATGAGATCCTCTCATTTGCAACAACATGGATGGAACTGGAGGCCATTATGTTAAGTGAAATAAGTGAGGTACGGAAAGACAAATTCCACTTATTTTCATGTCCTCACTTATTTGTGGGAGTTAAAAATTAAAACAACCAAACTCATGAGAGATAGAGAGTAGAAGGTTGGTTACCAGAGGCTGGGAAGTGTTGTGGGGAGTGGGGAGGAAGGAAAGATGGTTGACGGGTATAAAAATATAGTTAGATAGGATGAATAGTATTTGATAGTACAACAGAGTGGCTACAGTCAACAATAATTTATTGTACATTTTAAAATAAGTAAAAGAGTATAACTGGATTGTTTGCAACACAAAGGATAAATGCTTGAGGTGGCAGATACCCCATTACCCTGACATGCATTGTGTGCCTGTATCAAAATATCCCATGTACCCCATAAAAATATATGCCTACTATGTACCCACAGAAATTAAAAACAAAAAAGAAAATGGGACAGAACAGATAAGAAAACTAGAGGCTTCACTTAGAAATTTAATATCTGATGAATAGGAATTCTAGAAAGAGAAGAGAGAAAACAGGGAGGAGGAAAATTTATCAGAACAGAAGTGTATGGATCATCTAAGACAAAGGGCTCCCTAGAGGCTCAACAAGATGACTAAAGGAAGACCCACACCAAGGGACATCACTATGGAAATTAAGTCACTGAGGATAAAAGGAAGACCCTAGAAGCCTCCAGAGAAGAGTAATGGGGCATGCACTAAGGTCCAGGAGTCAGAAAGGCACCAGACTTCTTTAGAAGACCGAAGACAGTGATGTAATGCCTCAAACTTCTGAGGGAAAGTGATTTCTTTTTTTAAACAAAATTATTTTTACATCATCAAAAAGCATCAAGTGAGGAACATAACTTGTAACCTAAAATTCTATACCCAAGCAAAGTACAGATCAAATATGAAAACAAAATAAAGTGATGCTTTAAGAAATCTACACCTTCAAGTACTTATCTTCCACATCTCTTTTTAAAGAAGCTATTGGAAGATATGCTCCACCCAAATGGAGGAGGAAACTGAAAAAGAGGAACTCCAGTAGAAGAGAAAGGTGTAAGATATTCCCGGGAAGATGAGGATAGGATGTCTCCAGATGACAGCGGTGTATTGAGCCCAGAGAGGAGCCAACCTAGAGTGCAGAGGGGGGTCCTGAATATCTGTCAATAACAAAAGGGAATCATACCAAAAGGAGGTTCTATTAGTTTGAGATGAGTTAATACTAGGCACATAGAAAACTAAGTTAAAAAGAGAGACAATTACTAGTGCCAAGAATGAGAAAATGTACAAAAGTAGTAGGTATGTTGCCCTTTTGTCATAATTTACATAATAATAACAATAGAAGCATTGAATATTGATTTAATTCCCCCAAATCATGAGGTAACTATTTTGGAAGGGTCAGGAGAGATGTGTGTTATATCTTCTTCTTGTTCTTTTTTTTTTTTTTTTTTTTGAGGTGGAGTTTCGCTCTTGTTGCCCAGGCTGGAGTACAATGGCGCTATCTTGGCTCATTGCAACCTCCGCCTCCCCAGTTCAAGCGATTCTCCTGCCTCAGCCTCCTAAGTAGCTGAGATTACAGGCACCCGCCACCACACCTGGCTAATTTATATATTTTTAGTACAGATGGGATTTCACCATGTTAGCCAGGCTGGTCTCAAACTCCTGACGTCAGGTGTTTGTTTTTTTTGAGACTGAGTTTTGCTTTTTGGCCCAGGCTGGAGTGAAGTGGTGTGATCTTGGCTCACTGCAACCTCCGCCCCCTAGGTTCAAGTGATTCTCCTGCCTCAGCCTCCTGAGTAGCTGGGACTACAGGCGCACACCACCATGACCAGCTAATTTTTGTATTTTTAATAGAGACAGGGTTTCACCATGTTGGCCGGGCTGGTCTTGAACTCCTGACCTCAGATGATCCACCCACCTTGGTCTCCCAAAGTGCTAGGATTACAGGTGTGAGCCACCTCGCCCGGCCATATCTTCATATTTCATAGGAAGAAGTCAGTACGTAATATTCCAAATAGGATGGCAAAGAAATATCAACATACGGGTACTGTTTAGAAATTAGAACTAACTACAGGAAGAAAAAGCTAAATGGTTGGAAAATGCTTACCTTTGGGTAGCAGTTATGTGTGATGTGGAGCATTTGGCCAGGAGGCCACTGTTTTTTATTATAATCTTTGTGATATTTAATTTTTAGAAGAATTATTTAGGTATTATTTTTATAGAAAAATCAAATCAAATAAAATGCAGTGGGGGAGATGGGTGAATGGTATTGAGGGCTTCAACTATATTAATAATGGTTTATTTCTTAGGTGATAGGTATACAGGTGTTTGGTATGTTATTTATATGCATCTCACGTATCCAATATATAATTATTTTTAAACAGCAACAACAAAGCAGTGCTATTCAGAGAGGGTGACTGAAGGCCCAGGGTCATGGAATATAAAAGATGGGACAGAGCTTGAATGCAGACGTTAGCCTGGGGAAAAGGAAGGAAGAATAGTTCTGACCATACCAATGGGAGAGGGGTTAGAAAAGGTGGCTAGAGAGATATTTTGAATTGTAGTTGGAAAAAGTTGAGAAATTACAAGTTGAGAAATTTCTCAACTTCTTGTTGGCGGAAAATAGAGTTGGAGTTCTGGCTGAAGATAGGGAAGTTATAGGAGTGTATTTTTCCCTAGGGCTGTTGTAACAAATATCACAACCTTGAGGGCTTAAAACAACAGAAATATATTCTCTCACAGTTCTGGAGGCCAGATCTAAAATCAAGGTGTTGGCGAGGCCAGCCCCCCTCTGCAGGCTCTGCGGTGAATCCATTCCTTGTCTCTTCTAGCTTCTGGTGGCTGCTGGCATTCCATGGTGTTCTTTGGCTTACAGCAGCATCATTCCAACGCCTGCCTCCATCTTCACATAGCCCTTTCTGCATGTGGTGACGTATAATCTCCTTCTGCCTCTCTTTCATGGGGAGACTTGCAATAGCATTCAGGACCCACCCAGATAATCCAGGATTAGCTCCTCATTTCAAGGTGCTTAATTTAATAACATTGACAAAGTTCTTTCTTCCAAGTAAGGCAACATTCATAGATTCCAGGGATTTGATGTGGATATCTTTTGGTGGACCATTTTTCAGCTTGCCACAGAAAGTGATTGGATTTAAGGAAACAAATTATTTTTTATTGCTTCCCAGGAGAAATTCAGTAAGAAGTCAATAAAAGCAGAAAAATGGTTGCTGAATATCAATGAGATAGATCTGAATCAACCAACATGAATTTTTTTAATGTGATTTTTTTTTCAACAAGCTCAAATGTCTATTTTCTGTGATTTTGTATCAATTTTGTATCAAATGTCTTTTTATTTTCTGTGATTGCTTTATCACTTTGATCAGCAAGAAAACAGAAACATTTTATTAACAAATTTGTAGATTTTAGGTGTGGCAGGTAAAAAGAGATATGGAGAAAAATGTGTTGAATAAATATAAACCAATTAAAGCTTGGGTTGCAAATTTAAATTCTTAGAAATAGAATTTCAAGTAACAAACATCATAAGGGACAAAGAGGCATTTTATGGATTAATAAAAGGAACACAGACCAAGAAGACATAAACATAAACATATATGCATCTAGCAATATAGCCCAGGATTATATAATGCCAGGCAGTCCAAAAGAACTTTCTGCAGTGACAGAAATGTTCTATATCTGCATTGTTCAATACAGTAACCACTAACAACATGTGGCTGCTGAACACTTGAAATGTGGCTACTGTGACTCAGGAATTGAAGATTTAACTTTAATTAATTCAGACTTATTTATTTATTTTTTGAGACAGGGTCTTCCTC
Organism: Homo sapiens; assembly: GCF_000001405.40. Taxonomy (NCBI): domain Eukaryota; kingdom Metazoa; phylum Chordata; class Mammalia; order Primates; family Hominidae; genus Homo; species Homo sapiens. The sequence continues at coordinate 88,675,734 of NC_000015.10, forward strand.
TATTGCCCAGTGGCAGGATCATGGCTCATTGTAGCCTCCACCTCCTGGACTCAAGCAATTCTCCTGCCTCAGCCTCTCAAGTAGTTGGGACTATAGGCGTGCATCATCATACCCGACTAATTTTTTTTAAATTGTTTGCAGGTCTCACTATGTTACCCAGGCTGGTCTCAAACTCCTGGGATCAAGTGATTCTCCTATGTTGGACTCCCAAAGTGCTGGGAATACAGGCATGAGCCACTGTGCCCTGCCAATTAAAATGTAAATAGCCACATGTGTCTACTACCTACTACACTGGACAGTCTTGATGAAACAACAGCTGGAAGAATCATGAACAGAACTAAATAAAGCAACAATAATAGTTGAAGATAGTAATATACTCCTCTCAGAAGTGAACAGACTAAGCAAACCAGAAAGATAACTCTGAGTTGGTATTGGCAGATTCCTCCACAATAATAACCTTTATTGTCTTTGCTTTTATTTCCTATTTTCACCCCCAAATTTGCACTGTTTATTGTTTAATAACAAATAGACATATTCCTTTTTTTTTTTTTTTTTTTTTTTGAGACAGTATTGCTCTCTCGCCCAGGCTGCAGTGTGGTGGCACAATCTTGGCTCACTGCAACCTCTGCCTCCCAGGTTCAAGCAATTCTCCTGCCTCAGCCTCCCAAGTAGCTGGAATTACAGGCTTGTGCCACCACGCCCGGCTAATTTCTGTATTTTTAGTAGAGATGGGGTTTCACCATGTTGGTCGGGCTGGTCTTGAACTCCTGACCTCAGGTGATCCCCCACCTTGGCCTCCCAAAATGCTAGGATTAACAGGTGTAAGCCACCGCGCCCGGCCAGACACAACTGATTTCATTCACTGTCATCATGACTCACGTTTTATCATGTTTTAGGGATTTAAAAATATTTTTCCCCTTTAAGACCCTGAGTCAATATTTGGATGTTCCATTGGATTGAGGTCAAGAAACAGTAAGTTCCACCCTCAGCACACTCTTCACTTTCATATGTTCCCATCACTCCAGCTCCTCTCCAGCTACTGCCATATCTCCCCTTCCCCTCACAGTCAAGCTTTACCCCAGGGCAGCCTGTATTTACTGTATTGTCTTTTCTTCTCCTTCTGAATTTCCTGGTGTCTGTCCTCAAGACTTCACTGAAACTGCTCTAACCTGCATTCTCAATGACCTTCCAATACTCAAATCCAATGGACACTTTCCAGTGCTTATCCTGTGTGATTTCTCCGCAGCATATATTAATGTCAACCACAATCTCCTGGAACTCTCTTTTATTATTATTATTTTTTTGTATAACCAGCCTCTCCTTCTTTCCAGCTCACTCTCTACCCCTTTGTAGATCCCTCTTCTGCCTGCCACTTAAATGTCAGCATTTTCTTCTTAGCACTTCCTTCTCAGTCATCTCTGTTTCTCACTCTGCCTTGTCTCACTGGGAAATTTTACTTAAGTCTATAACTACAATCACTCCTTTAGCTGATGATCCACCAGTGTCTTTCTTAAGTTCTAATCTTTTCAACTGGACAATCTGCAGGCATTTCAAACTCAACATGTCCCATACTCTTACACAGCCTCACCGTTCCCATTTTACCTTTCTCATGTATTTCTATCTTGACTTCAGGACTTTCTCATCCACCCAAGTCATTCAAGCCAGAAACAAGAGCTTTCTTTGGCTCTTGTCTCTTTCACCTCCCACATCTAATTATCCTCCTAATCCTAAAGCTTCCATTTCCCAGGTATCTCCTGCATTCACTCTGCTCTCATCTTCACTGCCTTAGCTCATGACCTCATCATTGCTCTCCTGGATTATTGAAGTTTTCTTCCACTGGCCCTCTACCCACAATCTTGCCTTCCCTCATTGTTTATTTTAAACTGCTTTCTTAGAAGTCAAAAAATTGTCATTCCTTTGTTAAGCATATCTTTCATGATAAAGTCTGTTGGCTATTTGTTGCACAGTATTAATTTCTCTTTCTTTGGAAATAACACTTCAATATATCTTTGAGATCTGCTTCTTCTCTATAGTGTGCAGACATGATGGAATCATAAATCAAGAACTCTGGCCTTCTTACACTAAACCAACTGGTCTCTGTCTCCAAAGACTTTGAGTCTTGTGAAGGTTGAGTCAAGGATGCAAAAATTTTGCTCTTATTGCAGCAGCAGCACATCGACAAACCAGCAGTCCTCATTCCCTAAATGGTTGTTGCTTTCCTGGTTCCTGTTCTTTTCTAAGCCCAATTTATTAGCCTTTTTGTTTTGTTTTGTTTTGTTTTCCAGTTCTGTGAGTTCCCAGATACTCTTCAGATAGAAGCCTTTTCTGATGATATTAGCCAAAATCTATTTTTGTTGCTTACAACTAGGAAGCTTGGTTGCAAAATGTACATCCATTCATAAGGTAGGCAAAGCCCCTCAGTAACTGGCCTCCACCCTCTCCTCCAGCATCATCTGTGGTCATGGTCCCCCTGCACCATTCACTCCAGCCTCTAAAATAACATGCTATACCCCTAACATAGCATGTTAAGAAGATTCTCGGCTGGGCGTGGTGGCTTACGCCTATAATCCCAGCACTTTGGGAGGCCGAGCTGGGCGCATCATGAGGTCAGGGGTTCGAGACCAGCCTGGCCAAAATGGTGAAACCCCGTCTCTACTAAAAATATAAAAATTAGCCGGGTGTGGTGGTGGCCGCCTGTAACCCCAGCTTCTCGGGAGGCTGAGGCAGGAGAATCGATTGAACCTGGGAGGCAGAGGTTGCAGTGAGCCGAGATCACGCCAAGCCGAGATCACGCCACTGAGACAGAGCAAGACTCCGTCTCAAAAAAAAAGAAAAGAAAAGAAAAGAAAATTCTCTCCTTTCCTCCTTCCTCCTCCTTCCTTTTTTTTGATAAGGTCTCACTGTGTCGCCCAGGCTGGCTGGAGTGCAGTGGCACAATCTTGGCTCACTGCAACCTCCGCCTCCTGGGTTCAAGCGATTCTCCTGCCTCAGCCTCCCGAGTAGCTGGGATTACAGGCATGTGCCACCAGGTCTGGCTACTTTTTATATTTTTAGTAGAGACAGGGTTTGCCATGTTGGCCAGGCTGGTCTTGAACTCCTGACCTCAAGTGATCCACCTGCCTCGGCCTCCCAAAATGCTAGGATTATAGGCGTGGGCCACCGCACATGGTCTCCTCCTCCTTAAAGTCTCAACTTGTGCCACTTTCTCCATGAAGCCTCCCCTGCCACCCGCAGGCACTCCAGCTTCCATGGCCTCTTGTACACCCCTCTATCATGTTGTACTGAAACTGCCTCTTCACGTATCTAACCCTCCACAGCCTGGCAAACAGTAGGTGCTCAATAAGTGCCACCCTAAGCCTCAGTTTCTTCATCTAGAAAATAGAATAATAGCATCTACTTTTAGACGTCAAGGTTCTTCCTTATGACCTATAGAAAACATCTCTACCAACCTAAGCAGAAAGCAACTCTACTGGAAGAATGCTGGTTGGCTTGGAGAATTGTCTGTCAGGCTGGGGCCAGGCTCAGAATACAGGCAGGAAGGAGAAGCACTGAGCAGCCCCGTTCAGGCACCACACCACTGGCAGTGCACATTGGATATCACTGTGGGTCCCAGCAGAATGAACTCTGACCCAAGCTTGTATCTGTGTGTCACTTGCTCCTTGGTGTGTGTTTAGGCCCTCCTTGCAGGGAGCAGGCCAAATATTTATCTGGTCTTGCAGGTCGGGCATGGTGTAATCCCAGCACTTTGGGAGGCCAAGCTGGGTGGATTACCTAAGGTCAGGAGTTCAAGACCAGCCCCACCAACATAGTGAAACCCTGTCTCTACTAAAAATACAAAAATTAGCCAGGTGTGGTGGCAGGCACCTGTAGTCCCAGCTACTTGGGAGGCTGAGGCAGGAGAATCGCTTGAATCAGGGAGGCAGAGGTTGCAGTGAGCTGAGATCACACCACTGCACTCCAGCCTGGGTGACAGAGCAAGAGCGAGACTCTGTCTTAAAAAAAATTATCTGGTCTTTTAAGCTTCTGTACTGAAAGTGAGGCCCAGTCTCTCACCAAGACTCACAAGATGGGGACGTTCTCAATATCGAGGGGTGGGGGTGAGTTCAGGTGCTCAATAGTAACCCTCCATGAAGATGTCCCTCACACAGCACTGTTGGTTTGGTAGGAGGATTAAATGAGATGATGTATGGCCAAGTGATTCTCAGACATTTCTCCTAAAGGCAGAGAAATAGAATGTATCCTCATCTGGATGTCCAGCCTGCAGCCTTAAGTTGCAAGCTTGTGTTACATTTATTTGACAAACATTTATGAAGCTCCTGCCATGTGGCAAGTCCTCTTCTCAGCACTGGGAATACATCAGTCAGCAAAACAGACATAACTCCTACTGTGGTGGATTTCTATTCTATCATTTATCTTTGGAGTCTTATGTTTTGCTTGGAAATGCGTGCAGACGATTGCATTCTATTCCCTAATAGGACCATAACAATATACTCATAACATATGAGGTCTTGTTTTAATACAAAAGTAATGGCTTCCTACCAAAATTTTGGCGACTCAGTGAGCTGGCGGTTGCCTTGCCTCATTTGTTTGAAGAAATGGAAGACTATTTTTTTATGTACCTATATTTGAGCAAGTTTTCATTGACACCGAAAACAAATCTTGAACTGAGTTTATGGAAGGAACGAAGAGAAAGCTCATGGGAAGGGGCAGGATAATGGGAAGATGGGGCCCTGCCAGCCTCTGTCAGGGGCCAGGAGCGGAATACCCTGGAAGTCCGTCCTTCTGCCTGAGGCACTAGGAAGGCTCACATGCTCTTTCTTTTAAGGGGTTCTCTTGAAGAGCGGTCCCAGGCTGGCACTGAGAGTGCCACTGGGTGGCAGCAGTTCTGGGTTGGGGGGCCACTGGCTCTGAGCTCAGCATGGACTTGAGGGCCACAGTCATCAGGCAGCCTAGGAGATGGCATGCAGCTGGCAGCAGTGGCCAGCCAGGAGACGGAGGGGCAGGCAGGCTGTGGCCTGGACAAGGGAAGCAACGTCTCTTGGCAGAGGTGCGAGAGGTGGCGATGGCCCTAGGGTTTGCAGGTCCAGATGCAGAGTGGGAAGGAGGCCCAGCAGGATCCGCCCATCCCATGATGGGTGGTTTTGGAGGGCTTTGTTGCCTAAGGAAATTCACTCTCCTTCCCAGGCATAAGACTGAAGGGGTTTATGAAAAACAGATGCTGGTTGAAGTGCGGGTGAGGGGAATTGTGGTCCCCACCCTGAGGGGGATGGGGTTGAACTGAGCTTTCCCCACCCCCTTCCCAATCCCTGTTCAGAAGCCGACTCAGAAAAGGCCAACTGGTGAACGAACCCTCAGCAGACCAGCGTGGCGACAGAAAAGGCCCTGGGATTCCAGCTCACACAAGGACCTACAAGGATATGGGTTAAAGTGGGCAGTTGTTGACATAACAATGATAAAAAGAAGTAATATATAACACTCACTGCATGCCAAGCACCACTCTCAATTCCTTCGTTCCTCCCAGCAGTCTTGTGAATTAGGTGCCCTAGGCAGAGCTAGGATCCTGGCAGTTGGCTTCAGGGTCTTAAACCCTGTCTGGCATTGACCTTGTATCTTATACCCCAGAGGGGAAGAATAGGCAATATTTTTTCAGCAGCAACTCTCTGATTAGGTGATTTATTACCCCTATTTCATTTTACCTTCCCCCATTTTATAGATGATGAAACTGAGGCTCAGAGAGTACACTACATAACTTGCTTAAAGTCGCAGTTACTCCGTGGCAGAACCTGGATTTGAATGCAAGTCTGTCTCACTGCAAAGCTTGGCAACATCACAGTATCGCAATAAACACAGAGCCCCTTCTCCCTCCTCCTGGACTCATGTCAGTCCTGGTCTGGCTGCAATGTCCCACTCAGGGGTCCTGCAGCAGCTGCCCTTCGTCTTAGCCAGACCACTTCCTGTTGGTGAGCCACCCAGAAAAAGCCAGAGAGAGCATGAAGAACTTTAGACAGGGCTGATGGAAGCCTCTGCCGCCCTCTCTCTCTCCAGCCGGCCTGCCTCCCTTCAGTGACCTTCGGACAGGAGCCAGCCACACAGACAAGGGCCGCATGGATCAGCAGCCTGTGGCCGGCCCCCGAGGGCGGGCAGCCAGGTGCCAGTGGCTGCAGGAGAGAAGGGCCCCTCTTCTCTCCACTCAAAGGTGGATTGAGGAAGGCTGGCTCCATGATTTTTCCAAGAAGCTCATCCAGAGCCAGAGAATGGGAACATCTGTGCCCTGGGCTCTGTCCTGGACGCGGCTCAGGCCACAGTCTGGGGCTGGCGTCAGCTGGAGACAGCCCTGCGTGGAGGAGGCTCTGTCCCACTGGCCAGTGGTGGGGCCACTCCCAGCTGGCAGGCTGATGAGGGGTAGCCGTTGGCCTCCACTCCTGGGAGAGAGGGAGCCCAGGCCAGTCAGGGGAGGGAGCACAGGGCCTGAGGCTTGGGCACCAGGGGCCATCTGCATGGGCTGTTTATGCAGCAGGACTGGCAGAAGCCCCAGAGAACCCGCACATGGACCTGGGGGCACAGCTTCTCCTCCCCAGTTCCTGGACCCAAGGCCTCTCCCTTCCCCATCTGCCTTTGGTGACAGGCATGTGTGGGCATTCCTTACCTCCCCCACCAGCCTGATCATCAAAGCAACAAGGGAACTTAGAGATCATCTGGCCAGCTTATTTTCCCCTGTCCCTTTTTTTCACTTGGTATATTTTTTAAATTTAAGTTTTAGTTTTTTGAAAAGGTAATATATGTGCGTGATTCAAATATCAAAGTGCTATGAGAAGGTATACATTGAGAAATGTCATTTCCACCTGCAGCTTCATCTACTCTCCCCCTGGCCACCCCCACCCCACCTGATACCACAGGACGGTACACATTAGCTTCGTATGCATCCTTCCAGGGCTTCTGTATGCAAATCAAACATATAGATATTTATTTTTAATTCTCCCCTTTAATTATATAAAAATTAGCATACTAGGCCTGGTGCAATGGCTCATGCCTGTAATCCAAGCACTTTGAGAGGCCGAGGTGGGCGGATCACCTGAGGTTGGGAGCTCGAGATCAGCCTGACCAACATGGAGAAACCCTGTCTCTACTAAAAATACAAAACTAGCTGGGCATGGTGGTGCATTCCTGTAATCCCAGCTACTCAGGAGGCTGAGCAGGAGAATCGCTTGAACCTGGGAGGCGGAGGTTGTGGTGAGCCGAAATCATGCCATTGCACTCCAGCCTGGGCAACAAGAGTGAAACTCTGTCTCAAAAACAAACAACAAACAGACAAACAAAAACAAAAACAAAAACAAAAAAAAATTTAGCACACTAGACATCCTTCCATATCTTGCTTTTTAAATTTGCTATATCCTGGAGACATTTTTTTTAAATCATTTTGAGAGCACCTTCATTTTCCCAACTGTATTGTATTCTATTTTGTGGCTGTATGATAATTTACTAGCCAGATTTTAGAGATGAACACATGGTTGGTTTCCAGTCTTTCCAATCTTATTTTTAATTTCCAATCTTATTTTTAAACGAAGTCTTGTGAGGGAGCTTGATTGATGCCAAGCTGTTCTGGTTAGAGGAGATGATGGGTGAAGCCAACCTCCAACTTGCAACCTCCACCATCCCTGCCAGGTCTTGGAAGAACTTCATCAGAACCCTAGGCCTCCATGAAACACAGTAAAAACTATGATCTTGTCCTCATTGGCTCATTGTATAAATGTGAAACCGAGACTCAGAACAGGAACAAGACTGATCTGAGACCACAAGGTTAGCCTGCGGCAGAACTGGAGCTACAAACAAGATCACCTGGGCTCTACTCACTACACTATACATATTTCATCCTCAGGAGTCCCAGGCCAGGGCTCTGGGGCCAGTTGACTAGAGTCGAAGGCAGGTCTTTCTGTGGACCCAGCCATGGACCTAGCCACAGACTCAGCCATAGACTCACCCATGGACCCAGCCATATACCCAGTTATAGACCCAGCCATACACTCACTCATAGATCCAGCCATGGACCCAGCTATAGGCCCAGCTATAGACTCACTCATAGACCCAGCCACACTCCCAGCCATAGACCCAGCCACGGACTCAGCTGTGGACCCATCCATAGACCTAGGCATGGACTGAGCCATAGACCCAGCCATGGATCTAGCCATATACTCACCTATAGACCCATCCATGAATCCAGCTGTGGACCCAGCCACATAAGCCATAGACACCTATAGCTCTTGAGTCATAGACACCCATAGGTCTAGCCATGAACCTAGCCATAGACTCACCCATAGACCCAGTTGTGGACCCAGAAGTCAACCCAGCCATAGACCCAGCCATGCACCCAGTCACAGATTTAATTAATTAATTAATTTATTTATTAATTTATTTATTTTTGAGACAGAGTTTTGCTCTTGTCACCTAGGCTGGAGTGCAATGGCATGATCTTGGCTCACTGCAACCTCCGCCTCCTGGGTTCAAGCCATTCTCTTGACTCAGCCTCCTGAGTAGCTGGGATTATAGGCACGTGCCACCATGCCCAGCTAATTTTTGTATTTTTAGTAGAGACGGGGTTTCACCATGTTGGCAAGGCTGGTCTGGAACTCCTCACCTCAGGTGATACACCCTCCTTGGCCTCCCAAAGTGCGGGATGACAAGTGTGAGCCACTGTGCCTGGCCCCCAGACACAGATTTAAGTGTAGATCCAGCCATGCACCCAGCTGAAGATCCTGGATCTGCCTCTCTCCCACTCTGTGCTTTCATTTCCTCTTCCACTGCTTAGATTCAGTGGCTTCACACTCCCAAAAGAAAGGGCTTTGAGTTTGCAAAAGGAAAGATGAGCTACCCAAACTGGGTGAGACAATGAGGGCTGCTGCTGCTGAGCTGGACTCTTAAGAAATGGAAAGTCAAGAGTGTGTAGGGATAATAATGTCTGGGAGACCTCAGACTTTGGAGACACGTGTAAGCGATCTGTGTTTTTGAAAAGAATCGCTGGAGACCCTGAACATATACACACCTATTATGTATCAATAAAAAAATAAAAAAAAAGAATCACTGGGGAGTTTTACAACTGGTAAGTGACTAAGTTACTTAGGAAATACATTTTATGAAAGAGAAATATGTTTTCCACCAGGCAAAGGATGGGGCAGAGAGAGAGCCTAATTTGGAAGGATTTAACCAATAAACAGGATCTCAGTAGGCCAAGAAGTAGACAAGCAGAGAGAAGTGGGGCCAATTTACATCTGAAAGACAGAATCTCCAAGACTGGCACAATCCAGGAACACAAGGAAGAGATGGGGTTTGGGGGAACTAGGGGTCTCTGCCACCACCTATCCCCAAATCGTAGATGAGGAATCTGACTCACCAGTGGTAAAGCCACCTCCTTGGGGTAACGAGGCAGGTTTGCAGTAGATTCAGGATGGATATGGTGTAATCCCAGCCCCAAGGTTGCTGATTCCAACCTTGTAATAAGCAGGGGTCCGCAGCGGAAGCACAGCCAGCCTGGGAGCCAGGAAACCTGGGTCCCGTCTTTGACTCTGCTGCACACAGGGTGACTCTGGACAAGGCATGCCACCTTCCTGGCATCCAGCTTCACCTTCTTCATGGTGAGACGGCTGGACTCAGTGAGGCTTTTAAACGTTCTTTTGAGCTCCAAAGTGAGGGGCCTGGACCTGGGCCTTGGATTTGTGACAAATAACCCTTAATCCCTCTTGGGCAGGGAGAGAGGGAGCAGCCACCTCCACGAACCCCAATTTGGCCTTAACACATGACCCTACTTCATTTGGGAAGGGAGACACGGACCCAGCCTTGCTCCAAGATACAGCATCATGGACAGTCCACAGAATAAAATCAGAATAAAGTTTGGCTTTTAAGTTTCAAAGCTGTTATCCTAGTGCAAGTCTGGAAAGATCTAGGAGCGGTGCTGCTACCTGGGTGGGGATTTTTCTGGGCAGCGTGAGTGGTTAGTAGCTTTCGGGCTGGGGAGGTAAAGGAAGTTGGAAATGAACAACGGAGCTGTGGCTGGATGCTGATGTGGGAAACTATCTTTGCATCCCAGGGGAGGGGTCATGGAGGGATGAGGATGATGGGCCCCCTTTTAAGGGCAGGAAATGAAAGAGGAGGGCACCTATAGCAGGACCTCTGAGAAGCAGCAACCCTGAGGATGTGCTCAGGATTGGGGTGGGGTCAGAGGCAGCAGAGTGGAGATGGCTGGGGGGGAATCAGTCACAGAGGCCCCAAGGCAGCCCACCAGCATCTTGGGATCCAGGAGGGATGTGGGAGTGTAGCCATGCTATGAGGAGGGCCTGGAATGTAACAGAGAGGAAGAACCAGGATCCTGAAGGGGTTTCGAAGTCGTAGCAGAGGACATCACAACAAGACTCACAGAGACCATTCCTTTGGAACTCACAGAATATCCCAGGTCCCTTGCCCAAGATAGTTCACCATTGAGGGGTACAGTTAGGGTCAGACCTCCCCAGGGGGTCCCAAAAGTGGGGGTGGAGGACAACAGCACCTCCCCTAGCCTGCTCCCTCCTCAGGTAGATCTGGCCTGTTCAAAGGAACTGTTTGTGGAGAGGTGCCCGCAGGGCTTAAGGGCCAGCTTCCTGAGCATGGGCAAGCCTCCAGTCATTAAGGGCTTTGTCCCTTTTGCTAATAATAACCTTGAGGAGAAGTGTGGCTGGAAAGAGAAACACACAGCAAGCCCCAAGGCCAGGAACTCGTAAGGCTCCATCAGCTTCCCATTGTGGGTGCAGCCCTGGAGCTGCCTGGCCTCCCAGTGGCCACTGCCAGGGCATGGGGTGCAGGGCACCGGTTATGACAGAGGTTTGGGGGTGTCACACTGTCCATCTCCCAGTTTGTTCCCTACAACTTCCCTGACCTCACCCTGTGATTTCCAGATAAGGCTAAAAGACAACTTGGGATACACTTAATGACACAGAGAGGGGATCTGGAGAAGGAGAGGCATGGGAATTTCAGCTGTGTGATTCTGGGCAAGGCGTGTACACTCTCTGGGCCTCCACTTCTTTTTTTTTTTTTTTTTTTTTTGACAGTCTTGCTCTGTTGTCCAGGCTGGAATGCAGTGGTAGCCAATCTTGGCTCACTGCAACCTCCGCCACCTAGGTTCAAGTGATTCTCGTGCCTCAGCCTCCCGAGTAGCTGGGATTACAGGCTTATGCCACCACACCCAGCTAACTTTTGTATTTTTATTGATAGTAGAGACAAGGTTTCACCATGATGATCAGACTGGTCTTGAACTCCTGACTTCAAGTGATCTGCCTGTCTCAGCCTCTGAAAGTGCTGGGATTACAGGCATGAGCCACCACTCCCAGCCTCTGCGCCCATATTTCCTAACTGAAAAGCAGGACGGTTCCCTGGGCTTCCCTAACAGTCCCTTTTCCATTCTAATCTGTGAGCATATAAATGATACTCTCATTAAAGTACATCCCAGATGTGGATGAGTCCTACCTGTCCAGCAACTACACATGTTGGACTCAGGATACGCGAGCCAAACGATAAAGGAGGGGAAAAGAAAGGAGGGAAGAGGTGCAAGATGGGCAGAGAAGGAGGAGGTGAGGTGGAAAGCTCAGTGTTACAAGGAAGCCAGGGGCATGGAGGAAAGCTGTGAAGGGAGGCAGCTCTGCGTTTGATCCAGCTCCATCACTTACTAGCTGGGTGACCCCAGAAGATCACTTGAGTCCGGGAGGTCAAGGCTACAATGAGCTACAATTTCGCCACTGCACTCCAGCCTGGGTGACAGAGAAAGACCCTATCTCAAAATAAAAAATAAAAAAGACTATACTTTTCACTTCTAGAAATTCATCTTGGTTTCCTAGGGATGCTGCAACAGAAATTTATGGCCAGGCACGGTGGCTCATGCCTGTAATCTCTGCACTTTGGGAGGCCGAGGTGGGTGGATCACTTGAGGTCAGGAGTTCGAGACCAGCCTGGCCAACATAGTGAAACCCCCATCTCTAGTTAAAAAAGAAAAAAAAAATAGAAAAATTAGCAGGGCATGGTGACACACACCTGTAATTCCAGCTACTTGGGAGGCTGAGGCAGGAGAATCACTTGAACCTGGGAGGCAGAGGTTGCAGTGAGCCGAGATTGCACCACTGCACTCCAGCCTGGGTGACAAAGCAAGACTCTTTGTCTAAAAACAAAACAGAAATTTGTTCTCTCATAATTCTGGAGGCCAGAAGTCTGAAATCAAGGTGTTGGCAGGACCATGCTCTCTCTCTCTCAGGGTCTAGGGGAGAATTCTTTCTTGCCTCTTTTAGCTTCTAGAAGCTCTTGGTCCTGTGGCTGTGTAATTCTAGTCTCTGCCTCCTTCTTCATGTGGCCTTCTTTTCTTCATCTCTGTGTGTCCAAATATCTCAATCTCTCTGTCTTTTCTTTTACAAAGACATTGGTTCTTGAATTTAGGGTGGACCTTAAATCCAGGATGACTTCATCTTGAGATCCTTAACATATGACATCTGCAAAGACGTTAATAAGGCCACATTCTGAGTTTCTCAGTAGACGTGAATTTTGGGGGCACACTCTTCAACCCACTATAGTTTCCCCTTTCAAATCTGTTTTTTTTTCGTGGTGTCTTATTCTAGTATGTTTAATCATATTAAGTTTTTTTTTGGCTTTGGTTTTGCTGTCTCTCAGAGATTGGCGTTCTGTTCATTGGAGGTCTTCAGCTCTCGTCCCTCTGACCCTCACTCAGTGGACCGCTTCCTCATGGGTAGTGTCATTCAGTTTTAGCAGGACTCCTCTTTCCCATGAGAATTCCTTGCTGCCTGGGTTTTTGGAGCAACCATCCAGAGTACGTTTGCATCTCCTCCTATTACAGGGCACTCCAGTCCAATCACCTGTTGGGTACTCATTTTGTTAGTTGCCGGGTCCATCTCGCAGATCCTGGCCGAGCAACAGATGAAAGGAGTACTCAGACACAGGTATGCAGTGTAAGAGCAGCTAGGGGACGGCCAAAGAGTGAGCAGTCCTGATAAGCTGGAGCTGCTTGCTTTTATTCAGTATAGATATAATGCCAAAGCCTGGAGCCAACACAATCTTATGTTAATGTGGGTAATTAATATTATTGTTTCCCCTTATAGGGAGCAGTCACACACAGATGATCAAAAGTGAGTTTCTAGACAACATGAGTAAACAAGCCTATTTAGATAAATTCCCCCACTCCCTTGTACCTACTCCTCGCCCTCTGCCTCAGGGTAAGAGAACAGCTGCCTTCAGCTTCTTCTCCCCTGAAACTTTGCAGAACCTTCCGACCTTTCAGAAGTCCTGCTCCTTTCCCTATAGCTTCTTCTACCACTCTATCCACTCCTCCACATCAGGCTGGGGATTGTTGGACCTTAGATTTTATGTACATTTTGAAAGAGCAGTCCTAGGATTTTGATTTCTCCTGTGGAGACTTGCTTTTTTTTTTTTTTAATCCAAAGATCATGTGAGGATGAATATGCAGCCCTGTCGTCTCCTATTGCTGATAGGCGGGATTTTTCCTTATCTAGCTTTGCTCTGAGGCTGCAGACTCCTGTGGTCCTGGCTTTACAGAAGTGTCTCTGGTCCAGCTTCTTGCCTCATGCCATCCTGAAGCTTCATTTCCTGACCCATGTGGCCATAAAGACCTCACCTCTAGAATGCCAGGCTCAGTTCTCCCTTCTACGTCTTACCCAAGCATCAGTAACATCAACTCTGCCATTTATGATCTATGGGATCCTTGAGTAAATCATTTAATCCAAAAGCTCCTTCTCCTCTTTTTTGCCTTGTTAACTCTAACTTTTCCTTTAAGGTGATAACTCCAATATCACCTCCTTCAGGAAGCCTTCCCAGATTCCACCAGCTCCATCTCCCATGGCTTCCAGACTCACACTTCTGATCCTTCACCCTACTGTGGAGTGGCATGGTGTGGCCAGGACACCACAAGCTCCTCGATCTTCCCAAGAATAACAGTGAGGCAAAGAGAAAGGGAGGTAATGAAGGAGCAGCAGATAGGGCCAGCTTGGAGGGCCTGAATGCCAGGGAAGAAGTCAAATTTTTGCTGTCGGTGATGCTACTTCATTGAAGTTATTTAAGATTGGGATGTGGAGGGTCATTCCATCAGATGTCCACTTTTGAACTGTTATTCTGCCTGCTGGAAAACAGGAAAACAGCCAAGAAGCTGGGTGGCCAGTTTGGGGGTAATTTTACAGTCCAGGTGTGTGATGGTGGGCCTTGAGCAATGGCAGCTTGGGGATGGAGGGTGGGGGCAGATTTGTGAAATACTCAGGGAGCAAACATCCAAAAGTCTTGATGGTGTGGAGGGGCCAAGAATGCCAGACATTCGAACCTCCCAAGAGCAACTGCAGCCTTACTTCTCTCTCCTGCTCCCTTAACCATCCTCAGGGCCCCTCCTGGGTGCTCCCAGCACCCTCAGAGCACCAATACACCGAGTGTTTTGGGTAGGAAGTCTAAGAAAGGCTACACAAGCTGAGGCTTCAGAGAGGAGGACTTGGCTCCTGCCTCTGTGGTCTCCTGGAGGGGCCTCCTCGAATAAATGTATTCATCCTTCTCCTACCTGTGCCTGGGTGCTTGGCTTGTATGTTTCAAGATGGTTTGAATTTTTTCAAAAAATTAAAATTCTCTGACAGGCGAGCCAATCCCGGTGAATGACCACACAGTGAAAGGTGACAAGGGCTTCTTTCACGGGCCCCAGCTGCACTGAGCAGGCTGGGCGGCTGGAGGGAGCTCTCCATGAATCAGCCTATGTTAGAAGGTCAGTCTCTTGAAGCTTTGCTCTGCCCCAGGGCGTCTGATTGAACAGAGGCAGCAGCATATATGATGACACGTGGCAGGGGAATCTGTGTTGTCTTGAGTGACAGACTCTCCCTTCCGTGATTACTGATTTAAGTTATACATTCAACCAACTCTGTTGTGTCCATGTTCTGCCAGGGACTGTTCTAGCCCTAGAGACCCAGTGGTGAGAGCAGAAACCAGGTGCCAGATGACAAATACATCAACAAGCACCATAACAAGGTAACTGTGGGTGGTGATAAGCACTACAAGCGAAACAAAACAGGGTCTTGGGATGGACAGTGGTGGGAGGATGTTACTTTGGGAAGGGTCCCTCTGTAGAGGTGACATTTCAGCTGAGAGCAGAAGGGCGAGAAAGAGGTGGCCATTTCCCAAGCAGAAGGAACAGCTTGTGCAAAAGCTTTGAGGAGGGAACAAGCTGGCCACGCAGAAGAGAGCTGTGGGATTCGGAGAGCTAAGTGTGTCCATGGAAACAATGAGCATCGGCGATCGAATGCGACAGGAAGTGAGTGAGCCCAATACGTGTGGCTCCATGGTTCCCCAGTGATAGGCAACCAAGACAGCAAAAGGTCTGGAGATGGAGGCAAATTTGAGGTATGAACTGAGGGAGGCTTTATTTATTCATTGATTAAACAACCATTTACCAAGTGCTTACTGTGTGCCAAGCATTAGAGACTTAACAAGCCAAGCCCAGCTCCTGCTCTTAAAGGGAGCACCTAGCTTAATGCAGAGACACTTAGGCTAGAGAATGTGATAGGAGGAGACCCAAGCTCTGCAGAGGACTCTCCAGTATAAAACAGATTGGGTTTGCTTCTGTGCCACTCCAGAGAGGACGAGCACCCCCCAGGGATGAAAGTTGCCTGAAAACGAGATGGGCTGCCATGCAAGATAATGTTGTTGGAGCCTTCCAAGCCAATGCTGGTGACTACTCATGAGGGATGTTGTGGATTGATGGTTCTCAAATGTTGTTCCATGGAACACTGGTCTCTCAAGAGGCTCCATGAAGAAAGAGTTCCCTGATCATATAAGTTTGAGAAACACATCCTGCTATATTCTCCTTTCGGTAATTTGATAATGCATTTGAGATCCCAGGGAGTCCTGCAATATAAAAACCTGCTTAACTTTTTAGCCCAATGTTTCTCAGAAGTATTTTTCTCTGGAATTCCTTTATACTTAATGCTTGTTAATATCGAAATATCCTGCAGGCCTGGTAGGATACAGAGCAGAGCTTCTCAAACTGTCTGTGGTGAAGGATCAGGGTTTTGCTTGTTTTTCGTCTGTCATAAACCTATACTTTCTTAAAATAACACAAAAACGAATTACTAGAAAAAATAAAGACATGAAATACAAATCTAGATTTTTATTAGATTTAATTAACATAAGAAATACATTTCTGGCTGGGTACGGTGGCACACGCCTGATATCCCAGCACTTTGGGAGGCTGAGGAGGGCAGATTTCTTGGGCCCAGGAATTTGAGACCAGCCTGAGCAACATGGTGAAACCCTGTTTCTACAAAAAGTACAAAAATTAGCCAGGTATGGTGGCACCCATCTGTAGTCCCAGCTACTAGGGAGGGTGAAGTGGGAGGATCCCTGAGCCTGGGAGGTTGAGGCTGCAGTGAGCTATGATCATGCCACTGCACTCCAGCTGGGTGACAGAGTGAGACCCTGTCTCAAAAAAAATTACATTTCAATAAATAAAACCAGAACAAAAATAACACGAACAAAGAAAATAATTACAAAACTGTACATGTTGTCCATTGAAAGTGTGTGTTTAGACAGTTTCTATAGAGAATTGCTATTACAGTCATATCTTTCCGTCATTCTGCAATCATAATGAAACAGTATTGGACAGGACTCACACTTATGTAGTCAATTGATTTTCAACAAAGTTGTCCATGCAATCCAGTGAGGAAAGACGAGTCTTTTCAACAAATGTTGCTGGAACTGAATATCCATGTGGCGAAAAAATAAACCTTGACCCATACCACATACCATGCACACAAATTAGTTCAAGACGGATTACAGTCCTAAATGTAAATGTTAAAATTATAAAATTTCCAGAAGAAATACACAAGAATATATTCATGATTTGAGAGTAGGCAGAGGACACAGACAGCAATAACCCTAACAGAAAAAAAAGATACATTATATTTCATTAAAATTAAAAGCTTCTGCTCACAAAAAGATACTTTTTTTTAAATTAAGACAGAGTCTCACTCTATTGCCCAGGCTGGAGTACAGTGGTGTGATCTAAGCTCACTGCAACCTCTGCCTCCTGGCTCAAGCGATCCTCCCACCTCAGCCTCTTGAGTAGCTGGGATTACAGGTGCGTGCCACCACGCCCGGATAATTTTTGTATGTTTAGTAGAGACAGGGTTTTGCCATGCTGGTCAGGCTGGTCTTGAACTCCTGACCTCAAGTGATCTGACCGCCTCGGCCTCCAAAGGCGCTGGGATTATAGGCATGAGCCACAGCGCCCGGGCAAAAGACACTTCTAAGAAGATGAATAAGTGAGCCAGAGACCGGATAAAATTATCTGCAAAACATATATCTTAGGTGTAGGTAAACAGGTGAGTAAACTTATCTCACTCTCAGGGCTCACATTTGCAGTACTGCCCCAGTGCCAGAGGCTTCCAAATAGGCAACAGCATCCCCTTGGGGCACGGCTGACACGTCTGAGTCCTAACAGTGACACCCGATATTCATCATCATGGTCCCCTTTTGTTTATATGACTGAAGTAGTTTGGGAACCCCATTGTATGACCCTACATGGAAAGTGACTATTGAAACCTTTGGGAAGGTGGATTGCTATTGCATTCTCCAACATGCAGACTAAAACCCTTTCTAGAGAGTTGACTGTGGTCTGGGGAGTGCACCCTGAACAAGTGAGAGTTTCCTTCCTGACCCAGGGCCTGCTGGAGGGTCGGGGGTAACTTGCCACAACAAGCAGCAAGGGGCAGGGAGAAGTGAGTCTTGTCTGTGTAGACAAAGAGAGGGAGCCATCAAGACAAAGAATCTGTCAGGGACAGGGCATCCCGGCCTGATATACTGCAGTAAGCATCTGGGACTTAGTGGGAAGCCATTATGGAGTTGTAATCAGGAAAGTAACAAGAGTTTCTCCCAGTATTGGAAAGTGGCAGATTCCAATCAGGGATGTTCCAGAAAGTGAGAAGGGGACCTTGAGCTCCAACACTCTCTTTTTTTTCTTTTTATAATTTTTTATCTCTAGTCACTCACTGTGGTAGCAAACACACTTTTACTGTAACCAGGTCATATGTCTGTTGTCAGTAGGTCCAACCTAAGAACTGAGTTGCCCATTTTAACTTCACAATGACCGTGAGGCAGAAGAGATGAGGGGCCACAATCCTTGTGTGAGGTGGAGAAATGGCCCCTGTAGATGGGTGAGAAACATGGAGTTTCCTGCAGAATAAGGACCAGCAAACAGGGAGTGCCTTTTCCCTCTTCTGTGACCCCAATTGTCTTTGCACATTTGTTGTAGTAGTTTGAACAGAACAGAGGGGCTAAATGCTAACCAACGATGTGACAGCTGCATTTATTAAGCACCCACTACATGCTAGGCACTGTTTTAAGCACTCAGCATACATTATCTCTTTTAATCCTCACTCACAATAGCCCTGTGAGACAGGGAATATCTTATCCTCATTTTACAGATGAGGAAATGGAAGCCCAGGTAAGTTTAATAACTTACACAAAGTCACATAGCTGGTGAGTGAAGGAGGAATCTTCAAACAGGAATAGTGAAGCCAGAGGGGGGTGACAGTGCCGCCACTACTGGTACCAGTCTGGTGCCCCACCTAAGAAGAATGTTAACATGCTCACATTTTCCAGAGAAGGTGGAGATCCTAGAAACCATCCAGTATCCTTGAGGGACACATGAGAAACTGGAAAAGAAACATTCCAAGACGGCATGTGAAGAAGGAGAGGGGGTCAATATAGTCTGTGTTTCTCAAAATGGTGGCACCAGGGTGGATGTTACGGGCAGTGGATGAGCTATCTATTGCAGTGTAACAAATTACTCTAAAACTCAATGGCGGGATTAGGTGACTTGCTCAAGAGCATACAGCCAAGCAAAGCCCGGACCAGAACCTGACCCCCAGAACTCAGCCAACTTCTCCTCCTACTTTCGCACCTCTGACAACTCTGGAAAAGATCTTTCCCTCTGCTAGGGTAGGGAAGAGGTGCCTGAGCAAATCACAGTTGACAGTGTACAGTCAAGATACAATGGGCAGAATAAATACGCAGGGATCCTGTAAGCAACCAGCATCCAGCTCAGCCCTGGGAAATTTAATGCAAGGTGAGAGTGCCCCCAAATAATGACCTGTGTAGCCTCTTTATATGCACTGAGATCTGATGGGGTAATAAGATAGGTCAGGCATTTGTACGGCAGAGAATCCACGCCTCAGAGGACACCCCATGGAAAGCCTCTATATCTCTGTAAGTCCATGAGCATGCACCTTGACAGTGAAATGCCATCTTCACCACCTTGCCTTATGGCCCAATGTTTTGTTCCTTTGCCTCACTGTAGAGTGTCCCCAGAATATGGTGCACCCTGGGGTATCCCTTGCAGACATGACAGAGCCAGCCTGGCCTCCAGGACAAAGTGTGGTATAAAGGGTTCATGCCAGAGCTATTACTCAAACAAACCGCCAATCTGAGGGCCGGAATAGCAGCAATTATTTAAGTATTCTTGGAAACCCTGAAATTTTCTTTCTCTTACTTAGGTCTGTACTAACTTTTTCCTCTGGGCTCCAGAACAGACTTGCAATTGTCAGCACAACTTCCCTCATTCCCCACCCCCGCCCTTCCTCTAACACCATGCGCGCGCACGCACAAACACACACACACACACACACACACGGAAAAGAAACCTGTGTGGGTAAGGGCTTCTATGGGTTTATAGAGAGCCCAGGATCCCAGGGAATTTGAGCCCTTCCTCTTGACACTTATTCCGTGTGGTAGGTTCCAGTTTCCCTACAAGATGCAGCCGGTGGTGGAGCCAGTGTTGTTGGAGTTGGGGATGTGGCTGGAGAAGAGATTCCTCTTCAAAGGGCTCAAGCCCCTGGAAAAGTGGCCCCCCAAATTCTGCTAGACATAGTTCTTTGCCCACATTGGATCCGGAGAGCATCCTTGGACTCCAGGGCCAGTAGGCGGTGCCCTTGTGTCTGTCACCCAACGTGGTGGAGACACGCTCCTATGTCTACCTGAGCCCCAACACCAAGGTGCCTCTTTGGAGTAGCCCCTGATGGCTGTGGCTGCCACCTAGAACCAGCGACTCCAGAAGAAGCCGCCCCATTTCTCCCTCCAACATCTGCCTAAGCAAGAGAGGGCTCTGCTGGTGACTGTCATCATGTCCCACGGCTTTTACCTGGGGTCTCCAGTGACATCACTCCCCACCCCCACCGCCCCTGGCTCACCCGCTTTCCAGTAATCATGCCCAGAGCACCCGTGCTAATTCAAACAAGACGTGGACTTTCATGTTAAAGCAGCCTTCAGCTGAGAGGCGACGCCTGCTTCTGGAAAATGTTAACGCTTTCCTGTTGGACGCCAAGCCCGCTTGGAACTGAGCTTCAAACGAAACCTCATCTGTAAAATGAGGGGGTTGGACGATCCCAGAGAGCCATTCTGGCTCTGACGGTTTATGCCACTGTGAAAAGAAAACCCGATGGAGCCCCGTGTGTGGGAGTCGAGGGCTACTTCTGGTTGGCAATGGTGTGGTCACAAATAAAGTGGTTGTGAATCAGTTTTTATTTTAAGCCTTGCAGCTGATAGATTAATTTCTATTTTATGGGCCATACTTTCTGCATAATTCCAAGAAAATCACTGCATCAGAGGCTCCACTGACATCACCAACCACCAGATAGGAGGCCCCAGCCATGCAACCCTCAGGCCCAGTCGCTATGGGAAGACTTGGCTCCAGGTATACGGGAGGTTCTTATGCTGGGGGCCCCTGGTTGCTGTGGAGATGATGTTTCTCCCTCTCCATCCACCTTCAGGAGGTGTGAGCTTCAGAGGGTTTCCCACCTACCCTGCCCCCAGATTTAAATTTAATGGGTCCAGTCATGGGTGAGGCAAATCCATCATCCCTGAAGAGATCTTAGAGGCAGACAAAGCTCTATTTTCTGGACAGCCAGGCAAACGGAATCTTGAGGGTTTGATTTTTACGGCCGTATAATTTTTGCTTGGAGGCTTGTTTGTTTGTTTGTTTCTTATGGAATTTCTCCATTTGGGGACAGTCTTCCTGAGACCTCCTAAGCTCTTTATTTGGAAAAAAAGAATTAAAAATATATTTTTTGTTAAACACGTAGAGGAGAGAGGCTTATAGTCATTTCAATTGGGAGGCCAAAACCACTGAATAGAGGAATGTGTTTAGAGGAGACCAGCCAGGAATTAGATGAACCACAGTGAAGACCAGCAGACGATTTCTAAATTGACAAAGCAAGGAGCTCTCTCTTTGTACTAACGGGCTCAATTATTTAGAGTTCTGGAGGCTCCACATTGCAAGAGCTCTGAAAATTCACCTAGACCAACTACCCATTTGATGAGATCTCCTTTCCTTCAGTCCTGGCAATGCTCATGCATTCTCTCCTTCAATTCTATGTTGTTATAACTCAGTTGAAAAAAATCTTCTTAAGTTCTTAGACTGAGCTGAAATTGGCCTCTCTGTAACTTATATCTGCCACTGGCAGGTCTGTTCTCAGGAGGCCCACGTAGGGAAAAAGCCAAACCCTAGTCCAGGTTAGCTTGGACACACCTTTTGTTACAACCCTTCAAGTCTTTGCAGGCAGCTATCATGTGTCTCTCTCTTCTGGCGAATTCCCTCGGTTCTTTTCCCATTCATCGCCTGTGACATTTCCAGACCCTTCACCATCCTGGCCACTTGCCTCTGGGCATGTTCCAAATTGTCAGCTTCTCTCTTACACTGTGGCAGGGGCCCAGACATGATGCTTCCGAGTGCTGTGTTGATGGCCTCATGGACGTAAGGACACGCCCAAGCCCAAAGCTGCAAAGCCACATTCAGATGTCACACCAGAAACTGGCTATGGGAGTACATCCTGCCCCGTTGTGTAGGATAATCTTCAAACAGCTGGCAAACACTGTAGAGCGTGTTGTCTACCATGAGACCCACATGCCATAGATCCTTAAATGTGTCAGGTTATAATTGGAAATGATTTCTTTTTCATTCAACAAATACTTAGTATTAATCTTCTAAGATCCTCTCACCGATCATAAAGGAAAGGCCGTGGAGATGTGACAATGGCTCAGAAGGATATTACATTGAATGATCTACAAAAGCCTGATTGGCCCAGGTGTGCAGGTTCTAAGCAACTTTGGAAGAACTCTGCTTAGATCAAAACAGCATAGCCACAGATGATTTGAGGTGTGAGGAAATGTATGGAAGCTTGACTTCATATCCCTTGGTTTACAGATAGGCAACTGAACTCCAGAACCTGTCATTCATCCACTTAGCCATTCATCTGTCCATCCTTTCAGCAAATGTATTTATTGAGCAGCTACTATGTATAAGATAATGTTGAGTTAGGGAGAGTGCAATGGAAACAGCAGTACAAGATAAGGAGTGATAAGTAACTCACTAATGTTGGATAAAGAGCTCTGGTTGAGTGATCTGGCTGGTTAGCACCAGAGCAAGAACCAGAAACTAGATCTTCTAACATATAGCACAGAATTCTTTCTTACTATCACTAGCAAGTGATACATGATGCATGATAGAGCCCGTGCTCTATTTCCAGGGACCCTGTCCTGAGACAATCCTATTTAGACATTTCAGGCTATATGACTGTAAGTGGCAAATGTGATGGCTGGATACAATCAGTGTTTCACCCGTGCAAAGCAAGATGCCTCAACAATCTAGAGGGAACATAGACAATCCTTCCTTAGTCCCTTCAATCATGACTTCCCCTTGTCAACAGTTTACCAAAATTCTCTCCTGGGATTCACCAGACAGCAAGTCCAGTTTGTTTTTTTCCATTTTCCTTCCCTTTGAGCGCCACAAGAGTTGAGGGTAATGCCCTTCTCCACGGGTTCTCCGGAGGCTTCATGCTTCCCTTTCCACTGCCCTCATGTCCCTTATCAGCTCCTAAACCGTGAACACCCTCAAGGATCTACCTGCCTTCATTCCCCTTCTTTTGCTTTAATATCTCTCCTTTGAGGACTGACACATTCGTAGAACCTTCACTATCATCTCTATGTATTGAAATTTCCAAATCTATATGCACATCTAGACAAGGGTCCCTCTCCCAATCTCTAGCTGCAAGCCAGATGTTTCCCCAGCTTTCCTTCCCTGGCTTCAAACTCAACAGGTCTCAAACCAAGTCATCGTTGCCTGATCTCCACTCCCCTCCATCTCCTTCCCCAACCCGCAACTGGCAGCTATCCCTTTCAGGCTCGTTCTCTTAGTTCATCAGGCTCAAAACACGGACATAAAGCTTAGTTTCTCTCTCTTGTTTATATAAGTTATTCATCTAGAAAAAGTCACTAGGGATTCTTCCCTCAGATCAGTTTAATTTTATCCCTCCATCCATCCTTCCATCCTTTCCAGAACACTCCACTTTACTCTGGGATGAGTAGGTCACGTTCCAGGGAAGCCAGAGCCCTGTTCTCAAGCCCAGAACAAGATCTTATCTCAGCTAAGCTTGCTGGCACAGGCAGCTGTGCCCAGCCTGGGTGTTCCAGGCCTCTCACAGACCACCCCCAACCCCTTGCCCACCCTTCTTTCACCGGTGAGTACAAGACCATCACCAACAGCAAGTGCTGGGCCATGCTGGCACACAAAGAGCTCTCCCCTTGCTGGGGAGCAGACGGCACTCTTTCTCCTCCGGATGGGTCCTCTCTCTCCTGTGACACATTGAGCCATAAGCTGAAATCAGATCCAGTTTTACAATGGACAGCTGGGAGCTCAGCGCTCTCCAGAGCTCAGCACCCTCCAGCCCCTGCCCATGCAGTCCATTCCCAACCCCTTCCTCTGTAGCCTCACCTCCCCACCCTCTACCTCTACCCCAAATGTCGGCACCAAGACCTCCTCTACGGTTCTTTTCAAAGAGGGGAAGGGATGAGGGGGCTATAGATCAGCCCAACATCGTTCACCTCCCCAGGAGGATGGATGCAAATGCCCAGGAGAAAACTCTTTTTAGACAGCATGGGGGCACATGGAGCGACCAGCATCCCAGCATAATCAGGTGCCTGTGTTAGGTTTGTCAGTCTGAACCCAGTTATATGAATATCTGCATCCAGGTTCCTGGATTTTCCAGAAAGTCTGAACTGAGAAGACCCTCAAAAACCAACCAATGCAATCCACCATTGTGCAGATGGGAGAGCCAAGGTTCAGTGATTTCTCAAGGTGACTCAGGGAGACAGACGCAGAGCTGAACTAGAAGGCAGAGGGCCAGCCAAGGGCTGGGATAGCTGCAGTGAGCTCACTCCCACTGAGATCAAGACCCCATGGCAGCCAGGGTTTCTGGGGCTTCCCAGCACCTCCAAATTGGGGTCAGAGAAGCTCTGCTCTGGAGGTGAGGAAGGAAGGGCTGAGGGAGTATGGAAAATCCAGTGAGAGGCAGCCCATGCTTGGCCCTGGGGGCCTGACACACAGGAGAGGCAAGGAATAGCCCAGCAAGAACTTGAAATTCATGTTCCCTACCAGGGACCTGATCATCTGGGAAGCCAGCCAATTTTGAGGAAGGACCCCTTCCAGGCCTCTCTGCTGACTCCAGGGATGCCTGGCCAGGATGTAGCCCTCCCCTGCCCATGGCTACCAGGGACACAGCCCCCCTGTCTGCTTGCCTACACCTCTTGGGCCCAGACATGCTCAGGATGCAGGCATCCTTTGCCAAGGGCCCTTGGAGGTCCAGAAAATCCCAGAGCACTGACAAATAAAGAAAAGTCAAAACAGGGTTACAAAAATCAGGGTGCCTTTAAAATATTTCCCATGAAATATTTTAATACTCTGCACACACACAAATGCACACGCTCATACTCACTCACACAAAACCTAAGGAAACATAACTGTGTTATTCACAAAATAATCATAGGGATTGTATAAATATTAATTCAGAGGTCCCGTAGGCGATGTGGCCTAGCAATGAACATGAATTTAAAGTTGTCTGATGAAGGTTTCCTTCAGCCGGTCTCCGTGGCTGGATGTGAAACCTCCCTCAGAGGTAACATCACGGTTTAAATGTGAGGCCCTTTGAGAATGAGAGGCTGGGACAAAGTGGCTCTCTTGTGTCCCATGCCCACCCCCTTGGCTGGTTCCTCTCTTGAGTGTGCAGCCTGAGGGATCCTACTTGAAGGTGAGCAGGGACCCTCAGAGAATAGGTCTCAAACAGCTGTCCCTGCGCCCCCCACCCCAAGAGGTATAGGCAAGTATAGGTATAGTCCCCCACACACAGCCCCAGGCCCTGTGCCTCAGGGAGATGGGGGGAGCCAGGCTCCTCTAAGGGATGGTACAGGAGCCTAGGGCTGCCTGTGGGCCTCCAGGCCAGTGCTGAATGGGGCCTTTTTATATCATACCACCTGGGAGGGGATGTAATCCCTCCCCAGCCACATGGAGCCCACTGAATCCAGGCGGCACCACACACTGTTCACACAGCTCAGGAAACAAAATAAATATATTCTCCCTCAAAGACCCTACAATGTGGCTTTTTCATGGGCGGGCATCAGGAACAACCCCCTCCCTCCACCTGGCCCAGGGGTGCCTGTCCCTGGCTGGCTCCTTCCTGGGACTCAGGGTCCACTTGACCCAGTCCAGCCCTCCCTGCCCACTTTCTGGTCATGGCTCGGTATGGACAGTGGCCCTGTGGGTGGGTATTGGGCAGAGCCTGTAAGTGTCCTGGGAAAGGTGGAGGCAAGAGATAAATCTAATATCAGCCTCCTACTATGTGTCAGGCAAGCCAAGAGACCACTGAGGACAAACCTTAATGGATTAAAGCCATCTGCAGATTAGATTTGGCAAGGCTAAGACTTTAGGTCAACTGCATAGTTGGGGGAGCTTCTCAGTGCTCTCTGACTCCTCTATCACCCCTGTCCTAAAATGTCCTATGCCCATGTGTCATCTAGGAAGTTTCAGGAGAATGTCAACCATCCCTGACAGGACTCACCCTGTACTTTGCCCCACTCCCATCACAGCCAAGCCAAAGCATCTGTGGCTCTCCACCATGCCCCCTTGCCTTTGATGGTACAGCTCCCTCTGGCGGGAACACCTGGTTCCTTTCCACTCTTCTCTCTCTAATATTGTGGGCGCACAGTTATAATAAACAGATAAAATTTAGGGAGGGCTTGCTCTGGGCCAAACACATGTGTGAAGTTGTGCATCCCTTCTTACAGGAAGCCTTCCCTGATTTCACCCAGCCTTGTGACTATCTGTCCAGGTGTCTCTCTTCAAGACTGAATGCAGAGGGCCTAGAGAGATATTGCCTCCTCCCCACCAATCTCTGAGTCCCTGGTGCATTTTCCAGAGACAGCCCCTAAGGAGTAGGTGAATGTGGCCATCTCTGCCCCCACTAAGTACAGGTCATTTCTCTCATGTTGTTGCCTGTAATGCACCTTAAACTAATGCAAGCCCTGAGTCTTGCAGAGGCTCCTAGAGCCACACTCTAGAAGCCAGTATCTCAGCTGTGAAGCCTGGGCAAGTCACTTTACCATCTAAGCCTTGTTTTTTGCTTTATTTGCTTGGGCTTTTTTTTGTTTTTGGTTAGTTATTAATTTTCAGGTACAGAAAGTTAATTATATCCTTTTGATAGAATTATATGCTATCCTTAGAAAGGGTTCATTATACCCTTCAATTCAGGTATGTTATAATCATTAGTTAATGCAAAGCCCTCCTCTTATTTTCTTTTTTTATGGCTTTACCTAACATAAAATAAATAAACTGCACATATTTAAAGTCTGCAGTTTGATGAGTTTTACACTTGAGAAATCATCACCATAATCAAGATAATGAAGGTGTCATTCATATAAAGGTTTCCTCCTGCTCCTTGATAATTCCTCCCTTCTGCCCCTCCCTACTCCAGAGGTAACTACTCATCTGCTTTCTGTCATTACAGATTAGTTTGCATTTCCTACAGGTTTCTATAAATGAAATCATACAGTCTAGATTCTTCATTCAACAGTAATTACTTGGAAAGTTATCTATATCGTTGCATGTATCGGTAGTTTTTCCTTTTCATTACTGAGTGGCACTCTGTGGTATGGTTTTACTATACTTCGTTCATCCATTTATCTGTTGAGGGACATTTGAGTTGTTTCCAGTTTTTAGCCATTAAAAATGAAACTGCTTTGAACATCCAAATACAAATCTAGGTATAGACATATATTTTCATTTCTCTCTTGAAGTAGAATGATGGGATCATATTTTGTTTTACTTTGTTTTTCTCCTTCATCTCCTATCTCCCTCTCTTAAGCACACACTCAGACATTTAATGTATGCCTTTGCATATACACATATCTTTAAAAAATGTACAGAGCTGGTGTGTGTATGTGATGGGCGTAACTTACATACATGGTACTAGGCTGTCAATTTAGTTCTGTTACTTACTTGTTCCACGTTTCTACGTTGGTGCTGGTGGTGGTGGTGTGTGTGTGTGTGTGTGTGTAACAGCGTCTCGTGCTGTCATGCAGGCTGTAGTGCAGTGATGCAATCACAGCTCACTGCAGCCTTGACCTCCCAGGTTCAAGTGATTCTCTTGCTTCAGCCTTCTGAGTAGCTGGGACTACAGGCACATCACCATGCTCACCTAATTTTAAAAAACATTTTTTCTTTTTGTAGAGATGGGGGTCTCACCATATTTCCTAGGCTGGTCACCAATTCCTGGGCTCAAGCAATCCTCCCGCCTTGGCCTCCTAGAGTGCTGGGATTATAGGCATGAGCCACTAAGTCCAGCCATGTCTCTATGTTTTAGAGATCCATCTATGCACATATGTCATTAGAAATTTGTTGCTTCTGACTGCTGCACAGTATCCCATAGTGTGACCCTACCACATTTTACTGAATCCTCCCCGGATTAACATCAAGGTTGTCTTCAACTCAGCACTCCCATAAATAATACCACATGAACATGTCCTTGTACCGGTCCCCTTGCTCGCCAGTACAAACACGGAGAGTTGGAACTGAGTCCCAAGGTGTGCGCTCACTTTATCACCAAGGGCAGCTAGCCCAACTGCTTCCAGCACCCATCTGTGCTCCAGTCCCCATCTCCCACATCCCCTGGCCAACACATGGTACCATCTGCTTTACTAATCTGATGGATGTCAAGTAGTATCTTGTTCAATATATATTTGCCTAGTTACTAATGAGATTGGGGATCTTTTCAAATACCTGCTACCTATTAGGACTTTTCTTTCTATAAATTGCCAACGGGTGTCCTTTGCCCATTACACATTTGTATTTCCTATCATTTCCTTGTTGATTGGAAGAAGCTCTTGGTTTTGCTTTGTTTGAGTTAAGGTATAGTCTACACATGTTGCACAAGATATTAACTGTGGAGCTTGATTTATTTTTACACATGGACACACCTGTGTAATCTCCACCCAGGTTAAGATTTAGAGCTTTTCAGCCCCTCAAAGGCTCTTGTGTCCCCTCCATTTACCTTTCAAGGCAACTACTACTTTGACCTCTACACCTTAGATTGGTTTCGCTTTCAAAAACCTGTATATAAACAGAATCATGCAGTAAGTTCTCTTTCATATCTGGCATCTTTCAGATTTATCTAGGTGGTTGTGTGCTAGGTCATTCTTTTCCACTGCTGTGTAATATTCCATTGTATGCCTATGCGGAATTTATTTACCCTTTTTCTTGTTGATGGACATTTGGGTTGTTTCCAGTTTGGCGTTATTATGAATAAAGTTTCTATGAACATGTTTGAACGTGTCTTTTGGTGGCTATAAGCACTCAATTCTGTTGGTAGTGGAATTGGTTCATCACGGGAATTTTGAATGTTTGGCTTTAATCTCCACTACTGAACGTTTTTCTAAAGTGGCTGTACCAATTTACACTCCTACCAGCAGCGTATGAAAATTCCAGTTGCTCCTCATCCTCATTAATATTTCATACTTTCAGTCTTTTAAATTGTAGCCATTTGGTGGGTTTATAGGAATCCTTGTGTATTTTAAGATAGTCACCTCTTGTGGGTTTTACATATTGTGAATATAAATTTCATCCATCTATTATCTTAGTCCATGGCGAATAGTCTTTGTCTCCTCACCTGTAAAATGGAGATACTACTACTTGAGGCTTTAGCATAAGGATTATAGATAATGTGTTTCAAAGATCTGGCAAACAGTGGGTGCTTATTTCATGCCCCTATATATGTATCTCCACCACTAGACTGGGTGCTCTTCCAGGACAGGAACAGGGTCCGAACTGGTGTCGTCCCCAGGGCCCACCCCGTATAGGGCCAGCGAGGAGCAGTTTTTCAATAAAGTTTGTTGATTAAATAACGAAACCTCTCGGAGGCCCTCGCTGGTCTGCCATTTCAGGGAGGTCAGCATGGATTGAGGGTCGGTGGGAGTGAAGAGGGAAAAAGCATTTTCCCTGCAGGGGGCCAACAGGTGTCCAGTGGGTGTGGGGAGCCCCCTCCACCGGGCGTCGGGGCCCTGGACCCCACAGCAGGGGCGGGGAGGC
Organism: Homo sapiens; assembly: GCF_000001405.40. Lineage (NCBI taxonomy): Eukaryota > Metazoa > Chordata > Mammalia > Primates > Hominidae > Homo > Homo sapiens. The sequence continues at coordinate 88,705,204 of NC_000015.10, forward strand.
TGACGGGGGCGCAGCTTTTCCTCCTGAGTGTTCGCTGCCCGGGCTGGCGGCGCGGAGCCGGCCCGCCGCCGTCTGCCCCTCTGCCCGGCCCTTTTTTCCAGCAGTTCTGCCAAGAGGAGCGGGGTGCGGGGCAGGAGATGAGGAAGGAGGAGGAGAAGAAAAGGGAGAGGAGAGGAGGAGACGCAAAGGGAAGGGAGGGGTGGGAAGGGAAGAGGAGGCAAAGGGTGGGGAGAGGAGGGGAGGGGAGGAGAGGAGAGGGGAGGGGAGGGACTGGATCGGGCGCCAATCCCGCCCGCCGCGCGCCGCCCGGGCTCCCTCGGGCTCTCATTTACCCCGGCCGCTGGCAGCGGGACCCAGGCGCCTTGCCGCCTCGCTGCGGCCGCTTGGTCCCCACGCCGCCCCCTCCGCAGGCGACGAGGCCTGCAGACCGGACTGGGCAGCCACTCGGGCGCCCGCGGCGGTGGGCATCATCATGCTTCCCGGGCAAACAGCACTTCCAGCCAGAGGGTTCGCGGGGCCTGCACTGAACTCTCTCGACTCTCACTGTGGGAGCTTAGTCCAAGCCTTCCTTTTACCCACTAGAGCCTGAGAACCTGAGACAGGGAGCGATTGAGCCTAGGGCCCGTGGTGAATTAGTAACAGAGTCAGCAGTAGACACTAACCCCAAATACCCGTCCTCCGTTGCCTGTGTCCAATACATAGGTACTTCACTCAGTTTACACCTCCAAGGTCCCTCTTGGCCCCGAAGGATCCTCTCCCTGCCCTGCGTCGAAGATCGCATCCTATGTGTATGCCCTGGAGGCCTGCAGTAGCTCCCAAGGGTCTCCTGCCTCCCTTCTTGTCCCCCTAACATCCCATTCTCCATCCAGCAGCCACAGTGATGGTTTAGAATACGAATCTGCTCACCACCCTGCCCCGATGGCGTGGTAAGCAGATCTGTAAGCAGATTTGAAAGCCTTGTTGGTGTTCAGCACACTGGGAATATAGACTAGAGCCATCCCCAAAGCACAAGCACCGCAGGACCTAGCCTCTGCTTCACTCGCTCCACGCATTGAGCATCTTTTCCCCCAACCTGCCGAATTCACCCAACCCAGGGACTTCACACTTACCATTCCCTCTTCCTCAAATACTCTTTTCCCAGGTTTTTTTTGTTTTTGTTTTTGTTTTTTAACCAGGGGTTCCATGGGTTGAGCTGGGTTTCAAGATAATGATTTTCCTGTGTAACCCCATGTATATTAATTTAATGCAATTACAAACATCCTTCTGGGAAGGGATGCATAGGCTTCACCAGACTGCCCTAGCACCCCAGGCCCAGAAGAGTTTAGGAACTCCTAGACTTTGCACAGCTGGCTCCTTCTTGTCGTTCAGGTCGGAGCTGAATGTTGCCTCCTCAGGGAGGCCGTTTCTGGCTATGTTAGCTGCAGCTGTCCCTGCCTCATCCGGTCGTACCTACACATGGGTCTCAGAGTGCAGTTACTTGAACCAGCAGCATCTGCATCTCCTGGGGATTTAGTAGAAATTCAGATTCTTAGGCCCCAGGCCAGGCTTACCAAGTCAGAAACTATGGGGGTGGAGCCCTTTTATTTATTTATTTACTTACTTACTTATATTTATTTATTTTTTAGATGGAGTTTTGCTCTTGTCACCCAGGCTGTAGTGCAGTGGTGTGATCTCGGCTCATTGCAACCTCCGCCTCTCGGGTTCAAACCATTCTCCTGCCTCAGCCTCCTGAGTAGCTGGGATTACAGGCATGCGCCACCATGCCCAGCTAATTTTGTATTTTTAGTACAGACAGGGTTTCACCATGTTGGCCAGGCCGGTCTCAAACTCCTGATCTCAGATGATCTGCCCGCCTCAGCCTCCCAAAGTGCTAGGATTACAGGTGTGAGCCACTGCACCCAGCCTATTTTTATTTTTTAATTTAAAAAAATGTCAATAGCATTTGGGGTCCATGTGGTTTTTGTTACATGGATGGACTTCTTAGTGGTGAAGTCTGAGATTTTAGTGCACCCCTCACCCAAATAGTATACGTTGTACCCAATATGTAGTTTTTTAAAAAATTATTTTGTACAACACACCCAAAATGGACAGTATATAGTTTTTTAATCCCACGTCCCCTACCACGCTCCCTCTTCTGAATCTCTAAAGTCCATTATACCATTCTGTATGCCTTTGCATACCCATAGCTCCGTTCCCACCTGTGAGAACACATGGTGTTCAGTTTTCCGTTCCTGAATTACCTCACTTAGAATAATGGCCTCCAGTTCCATCCGAGTTGCTGCAAAAGACACTATTTCATTCCTTTTTGTGGCTGAATAGTATTCCATAGTGTATATGTGTATACCCACTTATTGGTTGATGGGCACTTAGGTTGGTTCCATATATTTGCAATTGCGAATTGTGCTGCAATAAACATATGTGTGCAGGTGTCTTTTTGATATAATGACTTCTTTTCCTTTGGGTAGGTACCCAGTGGTGGGATTGCTGGATCAAATGGTAGGTCCACTTTTATTTCTTTAAGAATCCTCCATACTATTTTTCAAAGGTTTTGTACTGATTTAATTCGCACCTGCAGTGTATAGATGTTCCCTTTTCAGCACATCCATGCCAATATCTATTGTTTTCTGACTTTTTAATATTGACCATTCTGGCTGGGATAAGACGATATCTCATTGTGGTTTTAATTTGCATTTCCCTGATGATTCATGATGTTGAGCATTTTTTCATGTTAGTTGGCCATTTTAAAAGCCATCCGGGTGATTCTGATGTTGGATTCTCAAGACGGAAAACTTCTGGCCCAGCATATTATCCCTGAGCTGTCAAGTTATCACCACCCAGCCTAGAAAATTTGATCCCCAAAGGTCCCCAAAGGACAACTGGGGCAAAGGTGGAAGGAGAGCTGGCTGAGTAATGAGGTGGCCTGCATGAGACATAAGTCCACAGAGGGCCAGGCTCTCCATGGACAGGGGCACAGCTTGACTGCAGGCAGGGTAGGGCTTGAGGCTTGGAGCACCACGCATTCTGTCCCTTGCTGGTTGACCTGGATCAGCATCGAGCTGGGGGGGAGATGGTCCACATTCTTGCCTTTCACATGTGGCAGGAGAGGAGTCTGCATTCCCCTGGGCACTTCTACCTCTGCCCTGGTCTGAACATTAACCAATGTCCCTGAGGTTTCATTTGGAATCAGCCACAGTCACTCCCGACTCATACCAGCCTGGTCCTCTGGCCTCTGCCCCTTTGCCCACAGGAAGTTCCAGGGCAATCCCAGGACCCTCCCATCCTGAGCTGTTTCCTGTGCTTTCTCCAGGAGAGCCAGATGTTTCTGCAATCTGAGTCTGAGCCCGTTCTTCACACTGGAGAGCTGGCTTCTTGTCACCAGTCCCAGGGAGCCACCTAATGCTGCCTGCAGACCAGAAAGTGCAGCCGGCAGCCTCTGATTTTGGGGGAGTTATGAATGGGAAACCAAAGCCCTGTTTCTGTTGTCCACTGTTCTCTGGGCTTTGTGCGATTCTCAGGCCCCTGGGGGAAAGCCAGATACTTAATTGACTTCCTCAATCTGATGATAGAGTATTGGGTATCAATAGACCGCAGGCAAGCTATTTTCATCCATGATTTCAGACGGGAGCCGAAGCCCTGGCTGCCACCACGTTCCTGCCACGCCGCCTCAGGGGATGAGCTCACCCCTGTCTGCTAGCACAGCAGCATTTGCTGCAGCCAGGCAGTCTGACTGAAGACCTCCCGGGCAAAGTTCTAGGAAGTGGAGATGTATGCAGTAACAGCATTGTGCCTGAACCAGAGCCTCCCAGTTACTAGACTGGAGTCAGGAGACCTGGGCACTCTCTTAGCTTAGCCTCTTCCTTGCTGAGGAACCCTGGGCAACTGACTTGAACAAGCTATGCCTTAGTTTCCTTGCCTGCCAAGAGGAGGTTGAAATAGACAATGATGTTGGCACTAGAATTCTACAATAAGGCCCAAGTGCTTTTCTCACCCCATCTTATTTTAGAGCCCCGAGCCTCACTAACTTTGTGTGCTGTTCTCAAGGTAAGAATCACCAGCTCGATAACACTTAAGGTCCCTGGGTTTGGTTCCGGTTTCCCCACTTTGCTTGCTCTTCATGACCTTGGCTGACTGATCTTAGCACAGGATTCAACAGATCATCTCTAAAGTGCTTAAGGCACCTCCCAGAGATATGCCTATACTCTGGGTCCAGAGTGAGTGAGCGTCAGTTGAGGAGCATCAGATGTCGTGGAAACTTCTTGTCCTCATGGCCCCCTGCTGGACCACTGCCCTAGACCTTAGCACTCAGCACTCTCCTGTTTAATCTACAGGCTGCGCTCCCATTCTAGTCCGTGAGTTCAAGGGCATGGAAGGGATCCCACCACTTCCGTGTCTACAGGACCTAGTGGGTGCTCAATGAATATTCATGGAACAAATGAGTATATAAGTGAATGAATGGACAGGTGGATGAATGGGTGGGCGGATGAATGAAAGAAAGAGGGAAACCCAGATGCTTGTTTGATACCCTGTGTGTATGTGTGTGCCATTGCTGGGCTGGGGAGAGGACAGGATTAGTCAGTCACAGCCAGCTAGGAGGGGTCCTGATGGCTCTGCCCGGAAACCTTTCCCCTCAGCCATGGTCTGCAGCCTCAACAACAAGGAGAAGCTCTCCTCCAACCATAGAATCATGGAATGTTGGCTCCAAGTGAAAACCACAGGTCACTTAATCCTCACCCATCCAATGGGGAAGCGAAGGCCCAGACAGGTTCCGTTTCTGCCTCACTACTGAGCTCATCATGGAAACTGTTGTTTTTCCATGAATAAAGGACCCAGGGGTGGGGGGGAAGGGGCACAGGGAGAAGCAGGTATTAACTAGATGAAGGTTAAACACAGCGAAAGCCAGTGCCTTGCCAGGGGCCTGACCAGCTTAGAGCAAGGGGCTTGTACAGTAAAGGGGGCTTGTGAGCTCCAGGGTGTCAGCTCGCCTGGGCTGGGCCATCAGGCATTATGTAACCAAGCAGAGGCTCCAAGAAACACCTAAGCTGGCCTGGTGTTCATCCCAGAAAGTGGTTTTCTGCTATTTCCTATAGAGGGAGGTTTTGCTGAGCACAGGGTTTTTAGCATTTTCCGTCGTTTGCTATTAAGAAAAGCAGGAGACAGAATATAAAATCCTTCCCTGAGATTGCCAGAATCTTCGAGTTTTGGAGAAGAAAGAGCTTAAGCTTGGTCCCGTGGGTCCCTAGAGGCCTGGGGCTTCTGAGGCAACAGGAGCTGGTCCCACGTTGAAATCTTTTCCTAAATCAGGCAGCTCCCCTAGGGCCAGGCATGGAAGGGGGTGCTGAGACCTTGGAACGTGGCTGCCACATCAGCCCGAGCCAATGCCGCTCCAGCAGGAAAATGGTGAGAGAACCAGGAGACCAGCACAGAAACATTAAGAGCCCTGGAGGACACAGCTCTATTTAGGTGCTCTAAATTGGCTTGGGGAGGAGGGCAGGGTTGGAAAAAGACCCCACTAAAATTTTACTTCCACCAAAAAGATTCAAAATTAACATTCTCATCTCTGTCTTTTTTTTAAAGACAGGGTCTCACTATGTTCTCACTATGTTTCTTAGGCTGGTTTCAAACTCCTGGGCTCAAGCAATCCTCCCAGCCCCTTGGCCTTTGAAAGTGCTGGGATTACAGGTGTGAGCTACCATGCCCAACCTTATCTCTGTCTTTTTTTTTTTTTTGAGTCGGAGTCTCACTCCATCACCCATGCTGGAGTGCAGTGGCATGATCTCAGTTCACTGCAACCTCCACCTCCTGGGTTCAAGCAATTCTCCTGCCTCAGCCTCCCAAGTAGCTATTGCAGGTACCTGCCACCATGCTCATCTAATTTTTGTACCTTTAGTAGAGGTAGGGTTTCGCCATATTGGCCAGACTGGTCTCAAACTCCTGACCTCAAATGATCTGCCTGCCTCAGCCTCCCAGAGTGTTGGGATTACAGGCGTGAGCCACCATGCCCGGCCCTCATCTCTGTCTTAATGCAACATTTTTGTAAGCCCCAACCTAAGGAAGAAGAATAGATGTCTTGAATACATTACTGTGGTGTGAGGACCTTGGGGAACCGGAGAATTCCCGGCAGTTTGGAAGAGGTGGAGGATGGTTCAAGAAAGGTCTGGAGCATGGGCCAGATGGTTAGAAGGAAAACCTGATGGAAATCAGTTTGATGGAGGGACCCGGGAGAGCTGGGAGCAAGGGGGCAGGGTTGGTGCGAGGGGCCTGCCTGTACCCCCACCCAAGGATGGGAGCAGAAAGACCCCACAGGCACGTGCCCACACTCTGGTTCCAGAGCGAACATAAGTTGAAGTAGTGGAGACATGGCTAGGATGTCCTCATGTCTGCCCCTCCCAAGTCCCATCCTCACACCCCCAGGGCCCTCTTGGGCTCATATGAGAGAGTGTAGCCGGCCTGGCTGATCCAGAGTCAACTGTCTGCCATCAAGTTCTAGTGTCCCTTGCAATCTGTGTGACTCAGGCAAGTTGCTAATTTCTCTGCCTCTGCGACTTCATCTGTAAAATGGAAATAACGCCAGCACCTGCATGCTCAGAGAGATGTGAGGATTGAGATAGAGCAGCAAAGTGCTTAGCACAGCGTGGGCATGGGTCCAGTGCTCAGTGAATGTTAGCTGTTAGGAAATTCACCAATCCTTCTGGGGTTGAATAAGGACAAACACAGCCTATCCAGCTGAAATCTTGGGAGCATCCTCATCTGAAGGCAGTGCGTGGGGCACAGTGCTGGGGTGAGGTGGGGCTCTACAGGGGTGGGTAACGTAGGGCCTACCCCACGGGGTGCACAGTCCAGTAGGGCCTGGAGACTTGAGACTGAGCCTAGTGGAGGGACAGCTGAGTTAAGGCAGAAAAGGTGGTGGAATTCAGGGAAGGCTGGCTGGAGGTGGTGCCAGTTTCCCAGAAGGCTGTCATGCAGTCAACATCATCCCACACCATGTGATCCTACAGGATCCCCATCAGAGGTGAGTAGCCCTGTGCCCCCTCGTAGCATCCCCACCCCCATCCAGACACAGCCTTCCTCAGGAGGAGACCTCGTCAACCCTCAGTCCTTGCCAGGGCTGCTGAAAGCTGGTTGCCAAATGGACAAACCTCAGGGACCATGAATAGTGGGAAGACCTTGTTCAAATGTCCCCTCCCTCTTCTGGGTGACTTCGCTGAAGCATTGTGTGGACTCCAAACCCTTGTGTTCCCCACATGCCTTGTCCTTAAGCTCACCAGTCTGGTGGGTGCTGAGTTCTGGTGTTTTCTATCACTCACCAGTCTGGTGGGTGCTGAGTTCTGGTGTTTTCTATTGGACTGTGCTCCTGGAGGACAGGGACTGTGTCTTCTCTGTGCCCAGCTCAGCCTGTGACACACAGCAACCCTTCCAACAGTGTTGAATCACATTCGCTTCTTGTGCACAAACCTGGATCACCCAATAGGCAGCTGAGCTTGTGCTTGGCACATCAGTACAGCAGGACCCATACACACAAATGTCTTTTAAAACATGTTATCTTCTTTTCTTTTGTTTTGTTTTATATACAGACAGCATCTCACCCTGTTGCTCAGACTGGAGTGCACTGGCATCATCATGGCTCACTAAAGCCTGAACCTCCTGTTCTCAAGCGATCCTCCCGCCTCAGCCTCTCAAGTAGCTGGAACCACAGACACACGCTGCCAAACCTGGTTAATTTTTATTTTACTTTTTGTAGAGATAGGGTCTTGCTATGTTGCCCAGACTTGTCTCGAACTCCTGGGCTCAAGCAATCCTTTGGCCTCAGCCTCCTAAAGGGCTGGCATTACAGGCACAAGTCACTGCACCTGGCCAAAATGTTGGAATTTTGATTATTTCTAAGGAAAGCATCAAAGTCCCCATCATGGGAAAAATCAGAATTTTATTGGACGCCCTTATGCTTTTACTGGTTTAGTGTGGCTTTCATATTGATTTCCATATGGGGGCACATTCCTTTAGGTCCATAGCAACTTTCAAAATTTCCACTCAGCCCTTCTTATGAAACATTTGCTGCTGCTTTTTGGTTTCTCAAAAGGGCACCTGGAAAGTTCAGCTTCAGCAAAGCATGATTAAGTGGAGCATTTGGAGTCAAATCTGAGCTTGAGTCCCTGACCTATCACTCAACCAAATGAACATTTGAACAAATTAACGAACAAACTTAATACAACTCAACCCCTATGAACGCTCTGCCTCTTCATCTAGTGAGTCATTCATTCAGTATGTATTGAGTGCCTACTGTTTGCAGATGTAATTCTAGGCGCCTGGGACATATCAGTGCACCAAAGAAGCTGCTTTCTCCTGGTGCTTACATTCATTAAGGGCAGGAGAAGACAGTCAATAAGAGACACAATAAGTAATGAATATGGCAAGTTGGAGAGTGACAAATTCTGTAGACAAAATAAAAAGTGATGAAGAATGAAGGGAATGAAGAATGAAGGGTGCTGAGGAACAAGTTGCAGTGTGAAGTGTGTGTGCATATGATGGAAATAGCATGGATGTCAGAGCCAGACATGCGTTCGAATCCCAGCATGCACTAGCCATGTGGCTTCGGGCAAGTTATTTAACCTCTCTGTGCCTCAGTTTCCTCATCTGTAAAAAGGGGATTATAATAATAGTAGCCAACTCACAGGGGATTATTACAGGAATTAAATGAGTGAATGCACATAAGGTGCTTGGAGCAGTGCCGGCACATACTGAAAGCTGTATAAGCATTGAATATTAGCAGGAGGAAGTGTGACTAAATGCCAGCTATTGTGATAATCC